>NC_000006.12:59153888-59439414 GCF_000001405.40 Homo sapiens | reverse complement strand
TCTGTCTAGGTTTTAGGTGAAGTTATTTCCTTTTCTACTGTGGGCTTCAATGCGCTCTAAATATACACATGCAAATACTACAAAAAGAGTGTTTCAAAACTGCTCTATCAAAAGAAAAGTTTTACTCTGTGAGTTGAACGCACACATCGCAAAGCAGATTCTGAGAATTATTCTGTCTAGTTTTTATAGGAAGATGTTTCTTTTTCTGCCATAGGCTCAATGCGCTATAAATATCCCCTTGGAAATCCTACAAAAACAGTGTTTCAAAACTGCTCTGTGAAAAGGGAGGTTTCACTCTTTGAATTGAATGCACACATCACAAAGGAGTTTCTGAAAATTCTTCAATCTAGAGTTACATGAAGAAATCCCGTTTCCAAAGAAGGCCTCAAATAGGTCCAAATATCCACTTGCAGCTACTACAAGCAGGGTGTTTCAGAAACGCTCTATCAAAAGAAACGTTAAACTCTGTGAGTTGAACGCACACGTCACTAAGCACTTTCTGAGAACGATTCTATCTACTTTTTACATGAAGATGTTTCCTTTTCTAGCAGAGACTTCAAAGTGCTCTAAATATCCACTTGGGAATTCTACAAAAACGGTGTCTCAAAACTGCTCTATCAAACGGAATGTTCCATTCTGTGAGTCGAATGCACACATCCGAAGAAGTTACTGAGAATTCTTCTCTGTAGGTTTAGATGAAGAAATCCCATTTCCAACTAAGGCCTCTAGGAGGTCCAATTATCCACTTGCAGATTCTACAGAAAGAGTGTTTCAAAACTGCTCTATCAAGAGAAATGGTCCACCGTGTGTGTGGAATGCAGCCATCACACATTAGTTTCTGAGATTGCTTCTGTCTTGGTTTTATGGGGAGATATTTCCATTTCTAGCATAGGCTTCAAGGCGCTCTAAATATCCGCTTGGAAATACTACAAAAACAGTGTTTCAAAACTGCTGTATCCAAAGGAAGGTGCCACTCGCTGAGTTGAATGCACACATCACAAGGAAGTTTCTGAGAATTCTTCTGTCTAGATTTATAAGAAGTAAATCCCGTTTCCAACGAAGGCCGCAAAGAAGTCCAAATATCCCATTGCAAATTCTACAAAAGGAGTGTTTCCCAACTGCTCTATCAAGAGGAATGTTGCACTCTGTGACTTGAATGCAAACATCACATAGTAGTGTTTGAGAATTCTTCTATCTAGAGTAACATGAAGAAATCCCGTTTCCAACGAAGGCCTCAAGGCGGTCCAATTATCCACTTGCAGATTCTACAGAAAGAGTGTTTCAAAACTGCTCTATCAAGAGAAATGTTCCACCGTGTGTGTGGAATGCAGCCATCACACAGTAGTTTCTGAGATTGCTTCCGTCTAGGTTTTATGGGAAGATATTTCCTTTTCTACCATAGGCTTCAAGGCGCTCTAATATCCGCTTGGAAATACTACAACCACAGCGTTTCAAACTGCTCTATCCAAAGGAAGGTTCCACTCTGTGACTTGAATGCACACAACCAAAGAAGTTTCGGAGAATTCTTCTGTCTGGATTTATACGAAGAAATCCCGTTTCCAACGAAGACCCAAAGGAGTTCCAAATATCCACTTGCAGATCCTTCAGAAAGAGGGTTTCAAAACTGCTCTATCAAGAGAAATGTTCAACTCTGTGAGTTGAATGCAGACATCACAAAGTCGTTTCTGAGATGGGTTCTGTCTAGGTTTTATGGGAAGATATTTCCTTTTCTACCATACGCTTCAAGGCGTTCCAAATATCCGCTTGGAAATACTACAAAAACAGTGTTTCAAAACTGCTCTATCAAAAGGAAGGATCCACACTGTGAGTTGAATTCACACATCACAAAGAAGTCTCTGAGAATTCTTCTGTCTGGGTTTATAGGAAGAAATCCCGTTGCCAACGAAGGCCTCAAAGAGGTCCAAATATCCACTTGCAGATTCTACAGAAACAATGTTTCCAAACTGCTCGGTCAAGAGGAATGTTGCACTCGGTGAGTTGAATGCACACATCACAAAGTAGTTTCTGAGATTGCTTCTGTCTACCTTTTATGGAAAGATATTCCCTTTTCTACCATAGGCCTGAAAGCGCTCTCAATGTACCCTTGCAAATTCTACAAAAAGAGTGTTTCCAAATTGCTCTATCAAGAGAAATCTTTATCTCGGTGAGTTGAAAGCACACATCACAAAGAAGACTCTGAGAATTCTTCTGTCTGGGTTTATAAAATGAAAACCCGTTTCCAACGAAGGCCTCAAGGAGGTCCAAATACAAACAAGCTGATTCTACAGAAAGAGTGTTTCCAAACTGCTCTATCAAGAGGAATGTTCCACTCGGTGAGTTGAATGCAGACATCACAAAGGAGTTTCTGAGACTGCTTCTGTCTAGCTTTTATGGAAAGATAATTCCTTTTCTACCATAGGCCTCAAAGCGCTCTTAGTATACACTTCCAAATTCTACAAAGAGAGTGTTACTAAACCGCTCTCTCAAAGGAAATGTTAAACTCTGTGAGTTGAACACAGACATCACAAAGCAGTTTCTGAGAACACTTCTGTCTGCCTTTTATGTGAAGACATTCCCTTTTCCAAAGAATGCCTCCAAGGGCTCAAAATATCCACTTGTAGACTTTACAAAGAGAGTGTTTCAAAACTTCTCTACCAAAAGAAAGGTTAAAGACGGTGAGTTCAACGCACACATCACAAAGTTGTTTCTGACAATGATTCTATCTATGTTTTCCATGAAGATGTTTCCTTTTCTATCATAGGCTTCAAAGTGGTCTAAATATCCACTTGGAAATCCTACAAGAACAGGGTTTCAAAGCTTCTCTATCAAACGGAAGACTCCACTCTGTGAGATGAACGCACACATCACAATGAGGTTTCTGAAAATTCTTCTGTCTAGGGTTATAGGAAGAAATCCCGTTTCCAACGAAGGCCTCAAAGAGGTCCAAATATCCACTTGCAGTTTCTACAAAAAGAGTGTTTCAACACTGCTCTATAAAGAGGAAAGTTCCACTCTGTGAGTTGAATGTACACATCACAAAGTAGTTTCTGAGATTGCTTCTGTCTAGGTTTTAGGTGAAGTTATTTCCTTTTCTACTGTGGGCTTCAATGCGCTCTAAATATACACATGCAAATACTACAAAAAGAGTGTTTCAAGACTGCTCTATCAAAAGAAATGTTTTACTCTGTGAGTTGAACGCACACATGGCAAACCAGATTCTGAGAATTATTCTGTCTGGTTTTTATAGGAAGATGTTTCTTTTTCTGCCATAGGCTCAATGCGCTATAAATATCCCCTTGGAAATCCTACAAAAACAGTGTTTCAAAACTGCTCTGTGAAAAGGGAGGTTTCACTCTTTGAATTGAATGCACACATCACAAAGGAGTTTCTGAAAATTCTTCAAACTAGAGTTACATGAAGAAATCCCGTTTCCAAAGAAGGCCTCAAATAGGTCCAAATATCCACTTGCAGCTACTACAAGAAGGGTGTTTCAGAAACGCTCTATCAAAAGAAACGTTAAACTCTGTGAGTTGAACGCACACGTCACTAAGCACTTTCTGAGAACGATTCTATCTACTTTTTACATGAAGATGTTTCCTTTTCTAGCAGAGACTTCAAAGTGCTCTAAATATCCACTTGGGAATTCTACAAAAACGGTGTCTCAAAACTGCTCTATCAAACGGAATGTTCCATTCTGTGAGTCGAATGCACACATCCGAAGAAGTTACTGAGAATTCTTCTCTGTAGGTTTAGATGAAGAAATCCCGTTTCCAACGAAGGCCTCTAGGAGGTCCAATTATCCACTTGCAGATTCTACAGAAAGAGTGTTTCAAAACTGCTCTATCAAGAGAAATGGTCCACCGTGTGTGTGGAATGCAGCCATCACACATTAGTTTCTGAGATTGCTTCTGTCTTGGTTTTATGGGGAGATATTTCCATTTCTAGCATAGGCTTCAAGGCGCTCTAAATATCCGCTTGGAAATAGTACAAAAACAGTGTTTCAAAACTGCTGTATCAAAAGGAAGGTGCCACTCGATGAGTTGAATGCACACATCACAAGGAAGTTTCTGAGAATTCTTCTGTCTAGATTCATACGACGAAAACCCGTTTCCAACGAAGGCCTCAAAGAAGTCCAAATATCCCATTGCAAATTCTACAAAAGGAGTGTTTCCCAACTGCTCTATCAAGAGGAATGTTGCACTCTGTGACTTGAATGCAAACATCACATAGCAGTGTTTGAGAATTCTTCTGTCTAGAGTAACATGAAGAAATCCCGTTTCCAACGAAGGCCTCAAGGCGGTCCAATTATCCACTTGCAGATTCTACAGAAAGAGTGTTTCAAAACTGCTCTATCAAGAGAAATGTTCCACCGTGTGTGTGGAATGCAGCCATCACACAGTAGTTTCTGAGATTGCTTCCGTCTAGGTTTTATGGGAAGATATTTCCTTTTCTACCATAGGCTTCAAGGCGCTCTAATATCCGCTTGGAAATACTACAACCACAGCGTTTCAAACTGCTCTATCCAAAGGAAGGTTCCACTCTGTGACTTGAATGCACACAACCAAAGAAGTTTCGGAGAATTCTTCTGTCTGGATTTATACGAAGAAATCCCGTTTCCAATGAAGACCCAAAGGAGTTCCAAATATCCACTTGCAGATCCTTCAGAAAGAGGGTTTCAAAACTGCTCTATCAAGAGAAATGTTCAACTCTGTGAGTTGAATGCAGACATCACAAAGTCGTTTCTGAGATGGGTTCTGTCTAGGTTTTATGGGAAGATATTTCCTTTTCTACCATACGCTTCAAGGCGTTCCAAATATCCGCTTGGAAATACTACAAAAACAGTGTTTCAAAACTGCTCTATCAAAAGGAAGGATCCACACTGTGAGTTGAATTCACACATCACAAAGAAGTCTCTGAGAATTCTTTTGTCTGGGTTTATAGGAAGAAATCCCGTTTCCAACGAAGGCCTCAAAGCGGTCCATACATCCACTTGCAGATTCTACAGAAACAATGTTTCCAAACTGCTCTATCAAGAGGAATGTAGCACTCGGTGAGTTGAATGCACACATCACAAAGTAGTTTCTGAGATTGCTTCTGTCTACCTTTGATGGAAAGATATTCCCTTTTCTACCATAGGCCTGAAAGCGCTCTCAATGTACCCTTGCAAATTCTACAAAAAGAGTGTTTCCAAATTGCTCTATCAAGAGAAATCTTTATCTCGGTGAGTTGAAAGCACACATCACAAAGAAGACTCTGAGAATTCTTCTGTCTGGGTTTATAAGATGAAAACCCGTTTCCAACGAAGGCCTCAAGGAGGTCCAAATACAAACAAGCTGATTCTACAGAAAGAGTGTTTCCAAACTGCTCTATCAAGAGGAATGTTCCACTCGGTGAGTTGAATGCAGACATCACAAAGGAGTTTCTGAGATTGCTTCTGTCTAGCTTTTATGGAAAGATATTTCCTTTTCTACCATAGGCCTCAAAGCGCTCTTAGTATACACTTCCAAATTCTACAAAGAGAGTGTTACTAAACCGCTCTCTCAAAGGAAATGTTACACTCTGTTAGTTGAACACAGACATCACAAAGCAGTTTCTGAGAACACTTCTGTCTGCCTTTTATGTGAAGACATTCCCTTTTCCAAAGAATGCCTCCAAGGGCTCAAAATATCCACTTGTAGACTTTACAAAGAGAGTGTTTCAAAACTTCTCTACCAAAAGAAAGGTTAAAGACGGTGAGTTCAACGTACACATCACAAAGTTGTTTCTGAGAATGATTCTATCTATGTTTTCCATGAAGATGTTTCCTTTTCTATCATAGGCTTCAAAGTGGTCTAAATATCCACTTGGAAATCCTACAAGAACAGGGTTTCAAAACTTCTCTATCAAACGGAAGACCCCACTCTGTGAGATGAACGCACACATCACAATGAGGTTTCTGAAAATTCTTCTGTCTAGGGTTATAGGAAGAAATCCCGTTTCCAACGAAGGCCTCAAAGAGGTCAAAATATCCACTTGCAGTTTCTACAAAAAGAGTGTTTCAACACTGCTCTATAAAGAGGAAAGTTCCACTCTGTGAGTTGAATGTACATATCACAAAGTAGTTTCTGAGATTGCTTCTGTCTAGGTTTTAGGTGAAGTTATTTCCTTTTCTACTGTGGGCTTCAATGCGCTCTAAATATACACATGCAAATACTACAAAAAGAGTGTTTCAAAACTGCTCTATCAAAAGAAAAGTTTTACTCTGTGGGTTGAACGCACACATCGCAAAGCAGATTCTGAGAATTATTCTGTCTAGTTTTTATAGGAAGATGTTTATTTTTCTGCCATAGGATCAATGCGCTATAAATATCCCCTTGGAAATCCTACAAAAACAGTGTTTCAAAACTGCTCTGTGAAAAGGGAGGTTTCACTCTTTGAATTGAATGCACACATCACAAAGGAGTTTCTGAAAATTCTTCAAACTAGAGTTACATGAAGAAATCCCGTTTCCAAAGAAGGGATAGGTCCAAATATCCACTTGCAGCTACTACAAGCAGGGTGTTTCAGAAACGCTCTATCAAAAGAAACGTTAAACTCTGTGAGTTGAACACACACGTCACTAAGCACTTTCTGAGAACGATTCTATCTACTTTTTACATGAAGATGTTTCCTTTTCTAGCAGAGACTTCAAAGTGCTCTAAATATCCACTTGGGAATTCTACAAAAAAGGTGTCTCAAAACTGCTCTATCAAACGGAATGTTCCATTCTGTGAGTCGAATGCACACATCCGAAGAAGTTACTGAGAATTCTTCTCTGTAGGTTTAGATGAAGAAATCCCGTTTCCAACGAAGGCCTCTAGGAGGTCCAATTATCCACTTGCAGATTCTACAGAAAGAGTGTTTCAAAACTGCTCTATCAAGAGAAATGGTCCACCGTGTGTGTGGAATGCAGCCATCACACATTAGTTTCTGAGATTGCTTCTGTCTTGGTTTTATGGGGAGATATTTCCATTTCTAGCATAGGCTTCAAGGCGCTCTAAATATCCGCTTGGAAATAGTACAAAAACAGTGTTTCAAAACTGCTGTATCCAAAGGAAGGTGCCACTCGCTGAGTTGAATGCACACATCACAAGGAAGTTTCTGAGAATACTTCTGTCTAGATTCATACGAAGAAATCCCGTTTCCAACGAAGGCCTCAAAGAAGTCCAAATATCCCATTGCAAATTCTACAAAAGGAGTGTTTCCCAACTGCTCTATCAAGAGGAATGTTGCACTCTGTGACTTGAATGCAAACATCACATAGCAGTGTTTGAGAATTCTTCTGTCTAGAGTAACATGAAGAAATCCCCTTTCCAACGAAGGCCTCAAGGCGGTCCAATTATCCACTTGCAGATTCTACAGAAAGAGTGTTTCAAAACTGCTCTATCAAGAGAAATGTTCCACCGTGTGTGTGGAATGCAGCCATCACACAGTAGTTTCTGAGATTGCTTCCGTCTAGGTTTTATGGGAAGATATTTCCTTTTCTACCATAGGCCTCAAGGCGCTCTAATATCCGCTTGGAAATACTACAACCACAGCGTTTCAAACTGCTCTATCCAAAGGAAGGTTCCACTCTGTGACTTGAATGCACACAACCAAAGAAGTTTCGGAGAATTCTTCTGTCTAGATTTATACGAAGAAATCCCGTTTCCAACGAAGACCCAAAGGAGTTCCAAATATCCACTTGCAGATCCTTCAGAAAGAGGGTTTCAAAACTGCTCTATCAAGAGAAATGTTCAACTCTGTGAGTTGAATGCAGACATCACAAAGTCGTTTCTGAGATTGGTTCTGTCTAGGTTTTATGGGAAGATATTTCCTTTTCTACCATACGCTTCAAGGCGTTCCAAATATCCGCTTGGAAATACTACAAAAACAGTGTTTCAAAACTGCTCTATCAAAAGGAAGGATCCACACTGTGAGTTGAATTCACACATCACAAAGAAGTCTCTGAGAATTCTTCTGTCTGGGTTTATAGGAAGAAATCCCGTTTCCAACGAAGGCCTCAAAGAGGTCCAAATATCCACTTGCAGATTCTACAGAAACAATGTTTCCAAACTGCTCTATCAAGAGGAACGTTGCACTCGGTGAGTTGAATGCACACATCACAAAGTAGTTTCTGAGATTGCTTCTGTCTACCTTTGATGGAAAGATATTCCCTTTTCTACCATAGGCCTGAAAGCGCTCTCAATGTACCCTTGCAAAGTCTACAAAAAGAGTGTTTCCAAATTGCTCTATCAAGAGAAATCTTTATCTCGGTGAGTTGAAAGCACACATCACAAAGAAGACTCTGAGAATTCTTCTGTCTGGGTTTATAAGATGAAAACCCGTTTCCAACGAAGGCCTCAAGGAGGTCCAAATACAAACAAGCTGATTCTACAGAAAGAGTGTTTCCAAACTGCTCTATCAAGAGGAATGTTCCACTCGGTGAGTTGAATGCAGACATCACAAAGGAGTTTCTGAGATTGCTTCTGTCTAGCTTTTATGGAAAGATATTTCCTTTTCTACCATAGGCCTCAAAGCGGCTCTTAGTATACACTTCCAAATTCTACAAAGAGAGTGTTACTAAACCGCTCTCTCAAAGGAAATGTTAAACTCTGTGAGTTGAACACAGACATCACAAAGCAGTTTCTGAGAACACTTCTGTCTGCCTTTTATGTGAAGACATTCCCTTGTCCAAAGAATGCCTCCAAGGGCTCAAAATATCCACTTGTAGACTTTACAAAGAGAGTGTTTCAAAACTTCTCTACCAAAAGAAAGGTTAAAGACGGTGAGTTCAACGCACACATCACAAAGTTGTTTCTGACAATGATTCTATCTATGTTTTCCATGAAGATGTTTCCTTTTCTATCATAGGCTTCAAAGTGGTCTAAATATCCACTTGGAAATCCTACAAGAACAGGGTTTCAAAACTTCTCTATCAAACGGAAGACTCCACTCTGTGAGATGAACGCACACATCACAATGAGGTTTCTGAAAATTCTTCTGTCTAGGGTTATAGGAAGAAATCCCGTTTCCAACGAAGGCCTCAAAGAGGTCCAAATATCCACTTGCAGTTTCTACAAAAAGAGTGTTTCAACACTGCTCTATAAAGAGGAAAGTTCCACTCTGTGAGTTGAATGTACACATCACAAAATAGTTTCTGAGATTGCTTCTGTCTAGGTTTTAGGTGAAGTTATTTCCTTTTCTACTGTGGGCTTCAATGCGCTCTAAATATACACATGCAAATACTACAAAAAGAGTGTTTCAAAACTGCTCTATCAAAAGAAAAGTTTTACTCTGTGAGTTGAATGCACACATGGCAAAGCAGATTCTGAGAATTATTCTGTCTAGTTTTTATAGGAAGATGTTTCTTTTTCTGCCGTAGGCTCAATGCGCTATAAATATCCCCTTGGAAATCCTACAAAAACAGTGTTTCAAAACTGCTCTGTGAAAAGGGAGGTTTCACTCTTTGAATTGAATGCACACATCACAAAGGAGTTTCTGAAAATTCTTCAATCTAGAGTTACATGAAGAAATCCCGTTTCCAAAGAAGGCCTCAAATAGGTCCAAATATCCACTTGCAGCTACTACAAGAAGGGTGTTTCAGAAACGCTCTATCAAAAGAAACGTTAAACTCTGTGAGTTGAACACACACGTCACTAAGCACTTTCTGAGAACGATTCTATCTACTTTTTACATGAAGATGTTTCCTTTTCTAGCAGAGAGTTCAAAGTGCTCTAAATATCCACTTGGGAATTCTACAAAAACGGTGTCTCAAAACTGCTCTATCAAAGGGAATGTTCCATTCTGTGAGTCGAATGCACACATCCGAAGAAGTTACTGAGAATTCTTCTCTGTAGGTTTAGATGAAGAAATCCCGTTTCCAACGAAGGCCTCTAGGAGGTCCAATTATCCACTTGCAGATTCTACAGAAAGAGTGTTTCAAAACTGCTCTATCAAGAGAAATGGTCCACCGTGTGTGTGGAATGCAGCCATCACACATTAGTTTCTGAGATTGCTTCTGTCTTGGTTTTATGGGGAGATATTTCCATTTCTAGCATAGGCTTCAAGGCGCTCTAAATATCCGCTTGGAAATAGTACAAAAACAGTGTTTCAAAACTGCTGTATCCAAAGGAAGGTGCCACTCGCTGAGTTGAATGCACACATCACAAGGAAGTTTCTGAGAATTCTTCTGTCTAGATTCATACGAAGAAATCCCGTTTCCAACGAAGGCCTCAAAGAAGTCCAAATATCCCATTGCAAATTCTACAAAAGGAGTGTTTCCCAACTGCTCTATCAAGAGGAATGTTGCACTCTGTGACTTGAATGCAAACATCACATAGCAGTGTTTGAGAATTCTTCTGTCTAGAGTAACATGAAGAAATCCCGTTTCCAACGAAGGCCTCAAGGCGGTCCAATTATCCACTTGCAGATTCTACAGAAAGAGTGTTTCAAAACTGCTCTATCAAGAGAAATGTTCCACCGTGTGTGTGGAATGCAGCCATCACACAGTAGTTTCTGAGATTGCTTCCGTCTAGGTTTTATGGGAAGATATTTCCTTTTCTACCATAGGCCTCAAGGCGCTCTAATATCCGCTTGGAAATACTACAACCACAGCGTTTCAAACTGCTCTATCCAAAGGAAGGTTCCACTCTGTGACTTGAATGCACACAACCAAAGAAGTTTCGGAGAATTCTTCTGTCTGGATTTATACCGAAGAAATCCCGTTTCCAACGAAGACCCAAAGGAGTTCCAAATATCCACTTGCAGATCCTTCAGAAAGAGGGTTTCAAAACTGCTCTATCAAGAGAAATGTTCAACTCTGTGAGTTGAATGCAGACATCACAAAGTCGTTTCTGAGATGGGTTCTGTCTAGGTTTTATGGGAAGATATTTCCTTTTCTACCATACGCTTCAAGGCGTTCCAAATATCCGCTTGGAAATACTACAAAAACGGTGTTTCAAAACTGCTCTATCAAAAGGAAGGATCCACACTGTGAGTTGAATTCACACATCACAAAGAAATCTCTGAGAATTCTTCTGTCTGGGTTTATAGGAAGAAATCCCGTTTCCAACGAAGGCCTCAAAGAGGTCCAAATATCCACTTGCAGATTCTACAGAAACAATGTTTCCAAACTGCTCGGTCAAGAGGAATGTTGCACTCGGTGAGTTGAATGCACACATCACAAAGTAGTTTCTGAGATTGCTTCTGTCTACCTTTTATGGAAAGATATTCCCTTTTCTACCATAGGCCTGAAAGCGCTCTCAATGTACCCTTGCAAATTCTACAAAAAGAGTGTTTCCAAATTGCTCTATCAAGAGAAATCTTTATCTCGGTGAGTTGAAAGCACACATCACAAAGAAGACTCTGAGAATTCTTCTGTCTGGGTTTATAAGATGAAAACCCGTTTCCAACGAAGGCCTCAAGGAGGTCCAAATACAAACAAGCTGATTCTACAGAAAGAGTGTTTCCAAACTGCTCTATCAAGAGGAATGTTCCACTCGGTGAGTTGAATGCAGACATCACAAAGGAGTTTCTGAGATTGCTTCTGTCTAGCTTTTATGGAAAGATATTTCCTTTTCTACCATAGGCCTCAAAGCGCTCTTAGTATACACTTCCAAATTCTACAAAGAGAGTGTTACTAAACCGCTCTCTCAAAGGAAATGTTAAACTCTGTGAGTTGAACACAGACATCACAAAGCAGTTTCTGAGAACACTTCTGTCTGCCTTTTATGTGAAGACATTCCCTTTTCCAAAGAATGCCTCCAAGGGCTCAAAATATCCACTTGTAGACTTTACAAAGAGAGTGTTTCAAAACTTCTCTACCAAAAGAAAGGTTAAAGACGGTGAGTTCAACGCACACATCACAAAGTTGTTTCTGAGAATGATTCTATCTATGTTTTCCATGAAGATGTTTCCTTTTCTATCATAGGCTTCAAAGTGGTCTAAATATCCACTTGGAAATCCTACAAGAACAGGGTTTCAAAACTTCTCTATCAAACGGAAGACTCCACTCTGTGAGATGAACGCACACATCACAATGAGGTTTCTGAAAATTCTTCTGTCTAGGGTTATAGGAAGAAATCCCGTTTCCAACGAAGGCCTCAAAGAGGTCCAAATATCCACTTGCAGTTTCTACAAAAAGAGTGTTTCAACACTGCTCTATAAAGAGGAAAGTTCCACTCTGTGAGTTGAATGTACACATCACAAAATAGTTTCTGAGATTGCTTCTGTCTAGGTTTTAGGTGAAGTTATTTCCTTTTCTACTGTGGGCTTCAATGCGCTCTAAATATACACATGCAAATACTACAAAAAGAGTGTTTCAAAACTGCTCTATCAAAAGAAAAGTTTTACTCTGTGAGTTGAACGCACACATCGCAAAGCAGATTCTGAGAATTATTCTGTCTAGTTTTTATAGGAAGATGTTTCTTTTTCTGCCGTAGGCTCAATGCGCTATAAATATCCCCTTGGAAATCCTACAAAAACAGTGTTTCAAAACTGCTCTGTGAAAAGGGAGGTTTCACTCTTTGAATTGAATGCACACATCACAAAGGAGTTTCTGAAAATTCTTCAATCTAGAGTTACATGAAGAAATCCCGTTTACAAAGAAGGCCTCAAATAGGTCCAAATATCCACTTGCAGCTACTACAAGAAGGGTGTTTCAGAAACGCTCTAACAAAAGAAACGTTAAACCCTGTGAGTTGAACACACACGTCACTAAGCACTTTCTGAGAACGATTCTATCTACTTTTTACATGAAGATGTTTCCTTTTCTAGCAGCAGACTTCAAAGTGCTCTAAATATCCACTTGGGAATTCTACAAAAACGGTGTCTCAAAACTGCTCTATCAAACGGAATGTTCCATTCTGTGAGTCGAATGCACACATCCGAAGAAGTTACTGAGAATTCTTCTCTGTAGGTTTAGATGAAGAAATCCCGTTTCCAACGAAGGCCTCTAGGAGGTCCAATTATCCACTTGCAGATTCTACAGAAAGAGTGTTTCAAAACTGCTCTATCAAGAGAAATGGTCCACCGTGTGTGTGGAATGCAGCCATCACACATTAGTTTCTGAGATTGCTTCTGTCTTGGTTTTATGGGGAGATATTTCCATTTCTAGCATAGGCTTCAAGGCGCTCTAAATATCCGCTTGGAAATAGTACAAAAACAGTGTTTCAAAACTGCTGTATCCAAAGGAAGGTGCCACTCGCTGAGTTGAATGCACACATCACAAGGAAGTTTCTGAGAATTCTTCTGTCTAGATTCATACGAAGAAATCCCGTTTCCAACGAAGGCCTCAAAGAAGTCCAAATATCCCATTGCAAATTCTACAAAAGGAGTGTTTCCCAACTGCTCTATCAAGAGGAATGTTGCACTACTGTGACTTGCATGCAAACATCACACAGCAGTGTTTGAGAATTCTTCTGTCTAGAGTAACATGAAGAAATCCCGTTTCCAACGAAGGCCTCAAGGCGGTCCAATTATCCACTTGCAGATTCTACAGAAAGAGTGTTTCAAAACTGCTCTATCAAGAGAAATGTTCCACCGTGTGTGTGGAATGCAGCCATCACACAGTAGTTTCTGAGATTGCTTCCGTCTAGGTTTTATGGGAAGATATTTCCTTTTCTACCATAGGCTTCAAGGCGCTCTAATATCCGCTTGGAAATACTACAACCAGAGCGTTTCAAACTGCTCTATCCAAAGGAAGGTTCCACTCTGTGACTTGAATGCACACAACCAAAGAAGTTTCGGAGAATTCTTCTGTCTGGATTTATACGAAGAAATCCCGTTTCCAACGAAGACCCAAAGGAGTTCCAAATATCCACTTGCAGATCCTTCAGAAAGAGGGTTTCAAAACTGCTCTATCAAGAGAAATGTTCAACTCTGTGAGTTGAATGCAGACATCACAAAGTCGTTTCTGAGATGGGTTCTGTCTAGGTTTTATGGGAAGATATTTCCTTTTCTACCATACGCTTCAAGGCGTTCCAAATATCCGCTTGGAAATACTACAAAAACAGTGTTTCAAAACTGCTCTATCAAAAGGAAGGATCCACACTGTGAGTTGAATTCACACATCAGAAAGAAGTCTCTGAGAATTCTTCTGTCTGGGTTTATAGGAAGAAATCCCGTTTCCAACGAAGGCCTCAAAGAGGTCCAAATATCCACTTGCAGATTCTACAGAAACAATGTTTCCAAACTGCTCGGTCAAGAGGAATGTTGCACTCGGTGAGTTGAATGCACACATCACAAAGTAGTTTCTGAGATTGCTTCTGTCTACCTTTGATGGAAAGATATTCCCTTTTCTACCATAGGCCTGAAAGCGCTCTCAATGTACCCTTGCAAATTCTACAAAAAGAGTGTTTCTAAATTGCTCTATCAAGAGAAATCTTTATCTCGGTGAGTTGAAAGCACACATCACAAAGAAGACTCTGAGAATTCTTCTGTCTGGGTTTATAAGATGAAAACTCGTTTCCAACGAAGGCCTCAAGGAGGTCCAAATACAAACAAGCTGATTCTACAGAAAGAGTGTTTCCAAACTGCTCTATCAAGAGGAATGTTCCACTCAGTGAGTTGAATGCAGACATCACAAAGGAGTTTCTGAGATTGCTTCTGTCTAGCTTTTATGGAAAGATATTTCCTTTTCTACCATAGGCCTCAAAGCGCTCTTAGTATACACTTCCAAATTCTACAAAGAGAGTGTTACTAAACCGCTCTCTCAAAGGAAATGTTAAACTCTGTGAGTTGAACACAGACATCACAAAGCAGTTTCTGAGAACACTTCTGTCTGCCTTTTATGTGAAGACATTCCCTTTTCCAAAGAATGCCTCCAAGGGCTCAAAATATCCACTTGTAGACTTTACAAAGAGAGTGTTTCAAAACTTCTCTACCAAAAGAAAGGTTAAAGACGGCGAGTTCAACGCACACATCACAAAGTTGTTTCTGAGAATGATTCTATCTATGTTTTCCATGAAGATGTTTCCTTTTCTATCATAGGCTTCAAAGTGGTCTAAATATCCACTTGGAAATCCTACAAGAACAGGGTTTCAAAACTTCTCTATCAAACGGAAGACTCCACTCTGTGAGATGAACGCACACATCACAATGAGGTTTCTGAAAATTCTTCTGTCTAGGGTTATAGGAAGAAATCCCGTTTCCAACGAAGGCCTCAAAGAGGTCCAAATATCCACTTGCAGTTTCTACAAAAAGAGTGTTTCAACACTGCTCTATAAAGAGAAAAGTTCCACTCTGTGAGTTGAATGTACACATCACAAAGTAGTTTCTGAGATTGCTTCTGTCTAGGTTTTAGGTGAAGTTATTTCCTTTTCTACTGTGGGCTTCAATGCGCTCTAAATATACACATGCAAATACTACAAAAAGAGTGTTTCAAAACTGCTCTATCAAAAGAAAAGTTTTACTCTGTGAGTTGAACGCACACATCGCAAAGCAGATTCTGAGAATTATTCTGTCTAGTTTTTATAGGAAGATGTTTCTTTTTCTGCCATAGGCTCAATGCGCTATAAATATCCCCTTGGAAATCCTACAAAAACAGTGTTTCAAAACTGCTCTGTGAAAAGGGAGGTTTCACTCTTTGAATTGAATGCACACATCACAAAGGAGTTTCTGAAAATTCTTCAATCTAGAGTTACATGAAGAAATCCCGTTTCCAAAGAAGGCCTCAAATAGGTCCAAATATCCACTTGCAGCTACTACAAGAAGGGTGTTTCAGAAACGCTCTATCAAAAGAAACGTTAAACTCTGTGAGTTGAACGCACACGTCACTAAGCACTTTCTGAGAACGATTCTATCTACTTTTTACATGAAGATGTTTCCTTTTCTAGCAGAGACTTCAAAGTGCTCTAAATATCCACTTGGGAATTCTACAAAAACGGTGTCTCAAAACTGCTCTACCAAAGGGAATGTTCCATTCTGTGAGTCGAATGCACACATCCGAAGAAGTTACTGAGAATTCTTCTCTGTAGGTTTAGATGAAGAAATCCCGTTTCCAACGAAGGCCTCTAGGAGGTCCAATTATCCACTTGCAGATTCTACAGAAAGAGTGTTTCAAAACTGCTCTATCAAGAGAAATGGTCCACCGTGTGTGTGGAATGCAGCCATCACACATTAGTTTCTGAGATTGCTTTCTGTCTTGGTTTTATGGGGAGATATTTCCATTTCTAGCATAGGCTTCAAGGCGCTCTAAATATCCGCTTGGAAATACTACAAAAACAGTGTTTCAAAACTGCTGTATCCAAAGGAAGGTGCCACTCGCTGAGTTGAATGCACACATCACAAGGAAGTTTCTGAGAATTCTTCTGTCTAGATTCATACGAAGAAATCCCGTTTCCAACGAAGGCCTCAAAGAAGTCCAAATATCCCATTGCAAATTCTACAAAAGGAGTGTTTCCCAACTGCTCTATCAAGAGGAATGTTGCACTCTGTGACTTGAATGCAAACATCACATAGCAGTGTTTGAGAATTCTTCTGTCTAGAGTAACATGAAGAAATCCCGTTTCCAACGAAGGCCTCAAGGCGGTCCAATTATCCACTTGCAGATTCTACAGAAAGAGTGTTTCAAAACTGCTCTATCAAGAGAAATGTTCCACCGTGTGTGTGGAATGCAGCCATCACACAGTAGTTTCTGAGATTGCTTAAGTCTAGGTTTTATGAGAAGATATTTCCTTTTCTACCATAGGCCTCAAGGCGCTCTAATATCCGCTTGGAAATACTACAACCACAGCGTTTCAAACTGCTCTATCCAAAGGAAGGTTCCACTCTGTGACTTGAATGCACACAACCAAAGAAGTTTCGGAGAATTCTTCTGTCTCGATTTATATGAAGAGATCCCGTTTCCAACGAAGACCCAAAGGAGTTCCAAATATCCACTTGCAGATCCTTCAGAAAGAGGGTTTCAAAACTGCTCTATCAAGAGAAATGTTCAACTCTGTGAGTTGAATGCAGACATCACAAAGTCGTTTCTGAGATTGGTTCTGTCTAGGTTTTATGGGAAGATATTTCCTTTTCTACCATACGCTTCAAGGCGTTCCAAATATCCGCTTGGAAATACTACAAAAACAGTGTTTCAAAACTGCTCTATCAAAAGGAAGGATCCACACTGTGAGTTGAATTCACACATCACAAAGAAGTCTCTGAGAATTCTTCTGTCTGGGTTTATAGGAAGAAATCCCGTTTCCAACGAAGGCCTCAAAGCGGTCCATATATCCACTTGCAGATTCTACAGAAACAATGTTTCCAAACTGCTCTATCAAGAGGAATGTTGCACTCGGTGAGTTGAATGCACACATCACAAAGTAGTTTCTGAGATTGCTTCTGTCTACCTTTTATGGAAAGATATTCCCTTTTCTACCATAGGCCTGAAAGCGCTCTCAATGTACCCTTGCAAATTCTACAAAAAGAGTGTTTCCAAATTGCTCTATCAAGAGAAATCTTTATCTCGGTGAGTTGAAAGCACACATCACAAAGAAGACTCTGAGAATTCTTCTGTCTGGGTTTATAAGATGAAAACCCGTTTCCAACGAAGGCCTCAAGGAGGTCCAAATACAAACAAGCTGATTCTACAGAAAGAGTGTTTCCAAACTGCTCTATCAAGAGGAATGTTCCACTCGGTGAGTTGAATGCAGACATCACAAAGGAGTTTCTGAGATTGCTTCTGTCTAGCTTTTATGGAAAGATATTTCCTTTTCTACCATAGGCCTCAAAGCGCTCTTAGTATACACTTCCAAATTCTACAAAGAGAGTGTTACTAAACCGCTCTCTCAAAGGAAATGTTAAACTCTGTGAGTTGAACACAGACATCACAAAGCAGTTTCTGAGAACACTTCTGTCTGCCTTTTATGTGAAGACATTCCCTTTTCCAAAGAATGCCTCCAAGGGCTCAAAATATCCACTTGTAGACTTTACAAAGAGAGTGTTTCAAAACTTCTCTACCAAAAGAAAGGTTAAAGACGGTGAGTTCAACGCACACATCACAAAGTTGTTTCTGAGAATGATTCTATCTATGTTTTCCATGAAAGATGTTTCCTTTTCTATCATAGGCTTCAAAGTGGTCTAAATATCCACTTGGAAATCCTACAAGAACAGGGTTTCAAAACTTCTCTATCAAACGGAAGACTCCACTCTGTGAGATGAACGCACACATCACAATGAGGTTTCTGAAAATTCTTCTGTCTAAGGTTATAGGAAGAAATCCCGTTTCCAACGAAGGCCTCAAAGAGGTCCAAATATCCACCTGCAGTTTCTACAAAAAGCGTGTTTCAACACTGCTCTGTAAAGGGGAAAGTTCCACTCTGTGAGTTGAATGTACACATCACAAAGTAGTTTCTGAGATTGCTGCTGTCTAGGTTTTAGGTGAAGTTATTTCCTTTCCTACTGTGGGCTTCAATGCGCTCTAAATATACACATGCAAATACTAGAAAAAGAGTGTTTCAAAACTGCTCTATCAAAAGAAAAGTTTTACTCTGTGGGTTGAACGCACACATCGCAAAGCAGATTCTGAGAATCATTCTGTCTAGTTTTTATAAGAAGATGTTTCTTTTTCTGCCGCAGGCTCAATGCGCTATAAATATCCCCTTGGAAATCCTACAAAAACAGTGTTTCAAAACTGCTCTGTGAAAAGGGACGTTTCACTCTTTGAATTGAAGGCACACATCACCAAGGAGTTTCTGAAAATTCTTCAAACTAGAGTTACATGAAGAAATCCCGTTTCCAAAGAAGGCCTCAAATAGGTCCAAATATCCACTTGCAGCTACTACAAGAAGGGTGTTTCAGAAACGCTCTATCAAAAGAAACGTTAAACTCTGTGAGTTGAACGCACACGTCACTAAGCACTTTCTGAGAACGATTCTATCTACTTTTTACATGAAGATGTTTCCTTTTCTAGCAGAGACTTCAAAGTGCTCTAAATATCCACTTGGGAATTCTACAAAAACGGTGTCTCAAAACTGCTCTACCAAAGGGAATGTTCCATTCTGTGAGTCGAATGCACACATCCGAAGAAGTTACTGAGAATTCTTCTCTGTAGGTTTAGATGAAGAAATCCCGTTTCCAACGAAGGGCCTCTAGGAGGTCCAATTATCCACTTGCAGATTCTACAGAAAGAGTGTTTCAAAACTGCTCTATCAAGAGAAATGGTCCACCGTGTGTGTGGAATGCAGCCATCACACATTAGTTTCTGAGATTGTTTCTGTCTTGGTTTTATGGGGAGATATTTCCATTTCTAGCATAGGCTTCAAGGCGCTCTGAATATCCGCTTGGAAATACTACAAAAACAGTGTTTCAAAACTGCTGTATCCAAAGGAAGGTGCCACTCGCTGAGTTGAATGCACACATCACAAGGAAGTTTCTGAGAATTCTTCTGTCTAGATTCATACGAAGAAATCCCGTTTCCAACGAAGGCCTCAAAGAAGTCCAAATATCCCATTGCAAATTCTACAAAAGGAGTGTTTCCCAACTGCTCTATCAAGAGGAATGTTGCACTCTGTGACTTGAATGCAAACATCACATAGCAGTGTTTGAGAATTCTTTTGTCTAGAGTAACATGAAGAAATCCCGTTTCCAACGAAGGCCTCAAGGCGGTCCAATTATCCACTTGCAGATTCTACAGAAAGAGTGTTTCAAAACTGCTCTATCAAGAGAAATGTTCCACCGTGTGTGTGGAATGCAGCCATCACACAGTAGTTTCTGAGATTGCTTCCGTCTAGGTTTTATGGGAAGATATTTCCTTTTCTACCATAGGCCTCAAGGCGCTCTAATATCCGCTTGGAAATACTACAACCACAGCGTTTCAAACTGCTCTATCCAAAGGAAGGTTCCACTCTGTGACTTGAATGCACACAACCAAAGAAGTTTCGGAGAATTCTTCTGTCTGGATTTATACGAAGAAATCCCGTTTCCAACGAAGACCCAAAGGAGTTCCAAATATCCACTTGCAGATCCTTCAGAAAGAGGGTTTCAAAACTGCTCTATCAAGAGAAATGTTCAACTCTGTGAGTTGAACGCAGACATCACAAAGTCGTTTCTGAGATGGGTTCTGTCTAGGTTTTATGGGAAGATATTTCCTTTTCTACCATACGCTTCAAGGCGTTCCAAATATCCGCTTGGAAATACTACAAAAACAGTGTTTCAAAACTGCTCTATCAAAAGGAAGGATCCACACTGTGAGTTGAATTCACACATCACAAAGAAATCTCTGAGAATTCTTCTGTCTGGGTTTATAGGAAGAAATCCCGTTTCCAACGAAGGCCTCAAAGAGGTCCAAATATCCACTTGCAGATTCTACAGAAACAATGTTTCCAAACTGCTCGGTCAAGAGGAATGTTGCACTCGGTGAGTTGAATGCACATATCACAAAGTAGTTTCTGAGATTGCTTCTGTCTACCTTTTATGGAAAGATATTCCCTTTTCTACCATAGGCCTGAAAGCGCTCTCAATGTACCCTTGCAAATTCTACAAAAAGAGTGTTTCCAAATTGCTCTATCAACAGAAATCTTTATCTCGGTGAGTTGAAAGCACACATCACAAAGAAGACTCTGAGAATTCTTCTGTCTGGGTTTATAAGATGAAAACCCGTTTCCAACGAAGGCCTCAAGGAGGTCCAAATACAAACAAGCTGATTCTACAGAAAGAGTGTTTCCAAACTGCTCTATCAAGAGGAATGTTCCACTCGGTGAGTTGAATGCAGACATCACAAAGGAGTTTCTGAGATTGCTTCTGTCTAGCTTTTATGGAAAGATATTTCCTTTTCTACCATAGGCCTCAAAGCGCTCTTAGTATACACTTCCAAATTCTACAAAGACAGTGTTACTAAACTGCTCTATCAAAGGAAATGTTAAACTCTGTGAGTTGAACACAGACATCACAAAGCAGTTTCTGAGAACACTTCTGTCTGCCTTTTATGTGAAGACATTCCCTTTTCCAAAGAAGGCCTCCAAGGGCCCAAAATATCCACTTGTAGACTTTACAAAGAGAGTGTTTCAAAACTTCTCTACCAAAAGAAAGGTTAAAGACTGTGAGTTCAACGCACACATCACAAAGTTGTTTCTGAGAATGATTCTATCTATGTTTTCCATGAAGATGTTTCCTTTTCTATCATAGGCTTCAAAGTGGTCTAAATTTCCACTTGGAAATCATGCAAGAACAGGGTTTCAAAACTTCTCTATCAAACGGAAGACTCCACTCTGTGAGATGAACGCACACATCACAATGAGTTTTCTGAAAATTCTTCTGTCTAGGGTTACTGGAAAAAATCCCTTTTCCAACGAAGGCCTCAAATAGGTCCAAATATCCACCTGCAGTTTCTACAAAAAGAGTGTTTCAACACTGCTCTGTAAAGGGGAATGTTCCACTCTGTGAGTTGAATGTACACATCACAAAGTAGTTTCTGAGATTGCTTCTGTCTAGGTTTTAGGTGAAGTTATTTCCTTTTCTACTGTGGGCTTCAATGAGCTCTAAATATGCACATGCAAATACTACAAAAAGAGTGTTTCAAAACTGCTCTATCAAAAGAAAAGTTTTACTCTGTGAGTTGAACGCACACATCGCAAAGCAGATTCTGAGAATTATTCTGTCTAGTTTTTATAGGAAGATGTTTCTTTTTCTGCCGTAGGCTCAATGCGCTATAAATATCCCCTTGGAAATCCTACAAAAACAGTGTTTCAAAACTGCTCTGTGAAAAGGGAGGTTTCACTCTTTGAATTGAATGCACACATCACAAAGGAGTTTCTGAAAATTACTTCAAACTAGAGTTACATGAAGAAATCCCGTTTCCAAAGAAAGCCTCAAATAGGTCCAAATATCCACTTGCAGATACTACAAGAAGGGTGTTTCAGAAACGCTCTATCAAAAGAAACGTTAAACTCTGTGAGTTGAACACACACGTCACTAAGCACTTTCTGAGAACGATTCTATCTACTTTTTACATGAAGTCGTTTCCTTTTCTAGCAGAGACTTCAAAGTGCTCTAAATATCCACTTGGGAATTCTACAAAAACGGTGTCTCAAAACTGCTCTATCAAAGGGAATGTTCCATTCTGTGAGTCGAATGCACACATCCGAAGAAGTTACTGAGAATTCTTCTCTGTAGGTTTAGATGAAGAAATCCCGTTTCCAACGAAGGCCTCTAGGAGGTCCAATTATCCACTTGCAGATTCTACAGAAAGAGTGTTTCAAAACTGCTCTATCAAGAGAAATGGTCCACCGTGTGTGTGGAATGCAGCCATCACACATTAGTTTCTGAGATTGCTTCTGTCTTGGTTTTATGGGGAGGATATTTCCATTTCTAGCATAGGCTTCAAGGCGCTCTAAATATCCGCTTGGAAATAGTACAAAAACAGTGTTTCAAAACTGCTGTATCCAAAGGAAGGTGCCACTCGCTGAGTTGAATGCACACATCACAAGGAAGTTTCTGAGAATTCTTCTGTCTAGATTCATACGAAGAAATCCCGTTTCCAACGAAGGCCTCAAAGAAGTCCAAATATCCCATTGCAAATTCTACAAAAGGAGTGTTTCCCAACTGCTCTATCAAGAGGAATGTTGCACTCTGTGACTTGAATGCAAACATCACATAGCAGTGTTTGAGAATTCTTCTGTCTAGAGTAACATGAAGAAATCCCGTTTCCAACGAAGGCCTCAAGGCGGTCCAATTATCCACTTGCAGATTCTACAGAAAGAGTGTTTCAAAACTGCTCTATCAAGAGAAATGTTCCACCGTGTGTGTGGAATGCAGCCATCACACAGTAGTTTCTGAGATTGCTTCCGTCTAGGTTTTATGGGAAGATATTTCCTTTTCTACCATAGGCCTCAAGGCGCTCTAATATCCGCTTGGAAATACTACAACCACAGCGTTTCAAACTGCTCTATCCAAAGGAAGGTTCCACTCTGTGACTTGAATGCACACAACCAAAGAAGTTTCGGAGAATTCTTCTGTCTGGATTTATACGAAGAAATCCCGTTTCCAACGAAGACCCAAAGGAGTTCCAAATATCCACTTGCAGATCCTTCAGAAAGAGGGTTTCAAAACTGCTCTATCAAGAGAAATGTTCAACTCTGTGAGTTGAATGCAGACATCACAAAGTCGTTTCTGAGATGGGTTCTGTCTAGGTTTTATGGGAAGATATTTCCTTTTCTACCATACGCTTCAAGGCGTTCCAAATATCCGCTTGGAAATACTACAAAAACGGTGTTTCAAAACTGCTCTATCAAAAGGAAGGATCCACACTGTGAGTTGAATTCACACATCACAAAGAAGTCTCTGAGAATTCTTCTGTCTGGGTTTATAGGAAGAAATCCCGTTTCCAACGAAGGCCTCAAAGAGGTCCAAATATCCACTTGCAGATTCTACAGAAACAATGTTTCCAAACTGCTCGGTCAAGAGGAATGTTGCACTCGGTGAGTTGAATGCACACATCACAAAGTAGTTTCTGAGATTGCTTCTGTCTACCTTTTATGGAAAGATATTCCCTTTTCTACCATAGGCCTGAAAGCGCTCTCAATGTACCCTTGCAAATTCTACAAAAAGAGTGTTTCCAAATTGCTCTATCAAGAGAAATCTTTATCTCGGTGAGTTGAAAGCACACATCACAAAGAAGACTCTGAGAATTCTTCTGTCTGGGTTTATAAGATGAAAACCCGTTTCCAACGAAGGCCTCAAGGAGGTCCAAATACAAACAAGCTGATTCTACAGAAAGAGTGTTTCCAAACTGCTCTATCAAGAGGAATGTTCCACTCGGTGAGTTGAATGCAGACATCACAAAGGAGTTTCTGAGATTGCTTCTGTCTAGCTTTTATGGAAAGATATTTCCTTTTCTACCATAGGCCTCAAAGCGCTCTTAGTATACACTTCCAAATTCTACAAAGAGAGTGTTACTAAACCGCTCTCTCAAAGGAAATGTTAAACTCTGTGAGTTGAACACAGACATCACAAAGCAGTTTCTGAGAACACTTCTGTCTGCCTTTTATGTGAAGACATTCCCTTTTCCAAAGAATGCCTCCAAGGGCTCAAAATATCCACTTGTAGACTTTACAAAGAGAGTGTTTCAAAACTTCTCTACCAAAAGAAAGGTTAAAGACGGTGAGTTCAACGCACACATCACAAAGTTGTTTCTGAGAATGATTCTATCTATGTTTTCCATGAAGATGTTTCCTTTTCTATCATAGGCTTCAAAGTGGTCTAAATATCCACTTGGAAATCCTACAAGAACAGGGTTTCAAAACTTCTCTATCAAACGGAAGACTCCACTCTGTGAGATGAACGCACACATCACAATGAGGTTTCTGAAAATTCTTCTGTCTAGGGTTATAGGAAGAAATCCCGTTTCCAACGAAGGCCTCAAAGAGGTCCAAATATCCACTTGCAGTTTCTACAAAAAGAGTGTTTCAACACTGCTCTATAAAGAGAAAAGTTCCACTCTGTGAGTTGAATGTACACATCACAAAGTAGTTTCTGAGATTGCTTCTGTCTAGGTTTTAGGTGAAGTTATTTCCTTTTCTACTGTGGGCTTCAATGCGCTCTAAATATACACATGCAAATACTACAAAAAGAGTGTTTCAAAACTGCTCTATCAAAAGAAAAGTTTTACTCTGTGAGTTGAACGCACACATCGCAAAGCAGATTCTGAGAATTATTCTGTCTAGTTTTTATAGGAAGATGTTTCTTTTTCTGCCATAGGCTCAATGCGCTATAAATATCCCCTTGGAAATCCTACAAAAACAGTGTTTCAAAACTGCTCTGTGAAAAGGGAGGTTTCACTCTTTGAATTGAATGCACACATCACAAAGGAGTTTCTGAAAATTCTTCAATCTAGAGTTACATGAAGAAATCCCGTTTCCAAAGAAGGCCTCAAATAGGTCCAAATATCCACTTGCAGCTACTACAAGAAGGGTGTTTCAGAAACGCTCTATCAAAAGAAACGTTAAACTCTGTGAGTTGAACACACACGTCACTAAGCACTTTCTGAGAACGATTCTATGTACTTTTTACATGAAGATGTTTCCTTTTCTAGCAGAGACTTCAAAGTGCTCTAAATATCCACTTGGGAATTCTACCAAAACGGTGTCTCAAAACTGCTCTATCGAAGGGAATGTTCCACTCTGTGAGTCGAATGCACACATCCGAAGAAGTTACTGAGAATTCTTCTCTGTAGGTTTAGATGAAGAAATCCCGTTTCCAACGAAGGCCTCTAGGAGGTCCAATTATCCACTTGCAGATTCTACAGAAAGAGTGTTTCAAAACTGCTCTATCAAGAGAAATGGTCCACCGTGTGTGTGGAATGCAGCCATCACACATTAGTTTCTGAGATTGCTTCTGTCTTGGTTTTATGGGGAGATATTTCCATTTCTAGCATAGGGTTCAAGGCGCTCTAAATATCCGCTTGGAAATACTACAAAAACAGTGTTTCAAAACTGCTGTATCCAAAGGAAGGTGCCACTCACTGAGTTGAATGCACACATCACAAGGAAGTTTCTGAGAATTCTTCTGTCTAGATTCATACGAAGAAATCCCGTTTCCAACGAAGGCCTCAAAGAAGTCCAAATATCCCATTGCAAATTCTACAAAAGGAGTGTTTCCCAACTGCTCTATCAAGAGGAATGTTGCACTCTGTGACTTGCATGCAAACATCACACAGCAGTGTTTGAGAATTCTTCTGTCTAGAGTAACATGAAGAAATCCCGTTTCCAACGAAGGCCTCAAGGCGGTCCAATTATCCACTTGCAGATTCTACAGAAAGAGTGTTTCAAAACTGCTCTATCAAGAGAAATGTTCCACCGTGTGTGTGGAATGCAGCCATCACACAGTAGTTTCTGAGATTGCTTCCGTCTAGGTTTTATGGGAAGATATTTCCTTTTCTACCATAGGCCTCAAGGCGCTCTAATATCCGCTTGGAAATACTACAACCACAGCGTTTCAAACTGCTCTATCCAAAGGAAGGTTCCACTCTGTGAGTTGAATGCACACAACCAAAGAAGTTTCGGAGAATTCTTCTGTCTAGATTTATACGAAGAAATCCCGTTTCCAACGAAGACCCAAAGGAGTTCCAAATATCCACTTGCAGATCCTTCAGAAAGAGGGTTTCAAAACTGCTCTATCAAGAGAAATGTTCAACTCTGTGAGTTGAATGCAGACATCACAAAGTCGTTTCTGAGATTGGTTCTGTCTAGGTTTTATGGGAAGATATTTCCTTTTCTACCATACGCTTCAAGGCGTTCCAAATATCCGCTTGGAAATACTACAAAAACGGTGTTTCAAAACTGCTCTATCAAAAGGAAGGATCCACACTGTGAGTTGAATTCACACATCACAAAGAAGTCTCTGAGAATTCTTCTGTCTGGGTTTATAGGAAGAAATCCCGTTTCCAACGAAGGCCTCAAAGAGGTCCAAATATCCACTTGCAGATTCTACAGAAACAATGTTTCCAAACTGCTCTATCAAGAGGAATGTTGCACTCGGTGAGTTGAATGCACACATCACAAAATAGTTTCTGAGATTGCTTCTGTCTACCTTTGATGGAAAGATATTCCCTTTTCTACCATAGGCCTGAAAGCGCTCTCAATGTACCCTTGCAAATTCTACAAAAAGAGTGTTTCCAAATTGCTGTATCAAGAGAAATCTTTATCTCGGTGAGTTGAAAGCACACATCACAAAGAAGACTCTGAGAATTCTTCTGTCTGGGTTTATAAGATGAAAACCCGTTTCCAACGAAGGCCTCAAGGAGGTCCAAATACAAACAAGCTGATTCTACAGAAAGAGTGTTTCCAAACTGCTCTATCAAGAGGAATGTTCCACTCGGTGAGTTGAATGCAGACATCACAAAGGAGTTTCTGAGATTGCTTCTGTCTAGCTTTTATGGAAAGATATTTCCTTTTCTACCATAGGCCTCAAAGCGCTCTTAGTATACACTTCCAAATTCTACAAAGAGAGTGTTACTAAACCGCTCTCTCAAAGGAAATGTTAAACTCTGTGAGTTGAACACAGACATCACAAAGCAGTTTCTGAGAACACTTCTGTCTGCCTTTTATGTGAAGACATTCCCTTTTCCAAAGAATGCCTCCAAGGGCTCAAAATATCCACTTGTAGACTTTACAAAGAGAGTGTTTCAAAACTTCTCTACCAAAAGAAAGGTTAAAGACGGTGAGTTCAACGCACACATCACAAAGTTGTTTCTGAGAATGATTCTATCTATGTTTTCCATGAAGATGTTTCCTTTTCTATCATAGGCTTCAAAGTGGTCTAAATATCCACTTGGAAATCCTACAAGAACAGGGTTTCAAAACTTCTCTATCAAACGGAAGACTCCACTCTGTGAGATGAACGCACACATCACAATGAGGTTTCTGAAAATTCTTCTGTCTAGGGTTATAGGAAGAAATCCCGTTTCCAACGAAGGCCTCAAAGAGGTCCAAATATCCACTTGCAGTTTCTACAAAAAGAGTGTTTCAACACTGCTCTATAAAGAGAAAAGTTCCACTCTGTGAGTTGAATGTACACATCACAAAGTAGTTTCTGAGATTGCTTCTGTCTAGGTTTTAGGTGAAGTTATTTCCTTTTCTACTGTGGGCTTCAATGCGCCCTAAATATACACATGCAAATACTACAAAAAGAGTGTTTCAAAACTGCTCTATCAAAAGAAAAGTTTTACTCTGTGAGTTGAACGCACACATCGCAAAGCAGATTCTGATAATTATTCTGTCTAGTTTTTATAGGAAGATGTTTCTTTTTCTGCCATAGGCTCAATGCGCTATAAATATCCCCTTGGAAATCCTACAAAAACAGTGTTTCAAAACTGCTCTGTGAAAAGGGAGGTTTCACTCTTTGAATTGAATGCACACTTCACAAAGGAGTTTCTGAAAATTCTTCAATCTAGAGTTACATGAAGAAATCCCGTTTCCAAAGAAGGCCTCAAATAGGTCCAAATATCCACTTGCAGCTACTACAAGAAGGGTGTTTCAGAAACGCTCTATCAAAAGAAACGTTAAACTCTGTGAGTTGAACGCACACGTCACTAAGCACTTTCTGAGAACGATTCTATCTACTTTTTACATGAAGATGTTTCCTTTTCTAGCAGAGACTTCAAAGTGCTCTAAATATCCACTTGGGAATTCTACAAAAACGGTGTCTCAAAACTGCTCTACCAAAGGGAATGTTCCATTCTGTGAGTCGAATGCACACATCCGAAGAAGTTACTGAGAATTCTTCTCTGTAGGTTTAGATGAAGAAATCCCGTTTCCAACGAAGGCCTCTAGGAGGTCCAATTATCCACTTGCAGATTCTACAGAAAGAGTGTTTCAAAACTGCTCTATCAAGAGAAATGGTCCACCGTGTGTGTGGAATGCAGCCATCACACATTAGTTTCTGAGATTGCTTCTGTCTTGGTTTTATGGGGAGATATTTCCATTTCTAGCATAGGCTTCAAGGCGCTCTAAATATCCGCTTGGAAATACTACAAAAACAGTGTTTCAAAACTGCTGTATCCAAAGGAAGGTGCCACTCGCTGAGTTGAATGCACACATCACAAGGAAGTTTCTGAGAATTCTTCTGTCTAGATTCATACGAAGAAATCCCGTTTCCAACGAAGGCCTCAAAGAAGTCCAAATATCCCATTGCAAATTCTACAAAAGGAGTGTTTCCCAACTGCTCTATCAAGAGGAATGTTGCACTCTGTGACTTGCATGCAAACATCACACAGCAGTGTTTGAGAATTCTTCTGTCTAGAGTAACATGAAGAAATCCCGTTTCCAACGAAGGCCTCAAGGCGGTCCAATTATCCACTTGCAGATTCTACAGAAAGAGTGTTTCAAAACTGCTCTATCAAGAGAAATGTTCCACCGTGTGTGTGGAATGCAGCCATCACACAGTAGTTTCTGAGATTGCTTCCGTCTAGGTTTTATGGGAAGATATTTCCTTTTCTACCATAGGCCTCAAGGCGCTCTAATATCCGCTTGGAAATACTACAACCACAGCGTTTCAAACTGCTCTATCCAAAGGAAGGTTCCACTCTGTGACTTGAATGCACACAACCAAAGAAGTTTCGGAGAATTCTTCTGTCTGGATTTATACGAAGAAATCCCGTTTCCAACGAAGACCCAAAGGAGTTCCAAATATCCACTTGCAGATCCTTCAGAAAGAGGGTTTCAAAACTGCTCTATCAAGAGAAATGTTCAACTCTGTGAGTTGAATGCAGACATCACAAAGTCGTTTCTGAGATTGGTTCTGTCTAGGTTTTATGGGAAGATATTTCCTTTTCTACCATACGCTTCAAGGCGTTCCAAATATCCGCTTGGAAATACTACAAAAACAGTGTTTCAAAACTGCTCTATCAAAAGGAAGGATCCACACTGTGAGTTGAATTCACACATCACAAAGAAATCTCTGAGAATTCTTCTGTCTGGGTTTATAGGAAGAAATCCCGTTTCCAACGAAGGCCTCAAAGAGGTCCAAATATCCACTTGCAGATTCTACAGAAACAATGTTTCCAAACTGCTCGGTCAAGAGGAATGTTGCACTCGGTGAGTTGAATGCACACATCACAAAGTAGTTTCTGAGATTGCTTCTGTCTACCTTTGATGGAAAGATATTCCCTTTTCTACCATAGGCCTGAAAGCGCTCTCAATGTACCCTTGCAAATACTACAAAAAGAGTTTTTCAAAACTGCTCTATCAAAAGAAAAGTTTTACTCTGTGGGTTGAACGCACACATCGCAAAGCAGATTCTGAGAATTATTCTGTCTGGGTTTATAAGAAGGAAAACCCGTTTCCAACGAAGGCCTCAAGGAGGTCCAAATACAAACAAGCTGATTCTACAGAAAGAGTGTTTCCAAACTGCTCTATCAAGAGGAATGTTCCACTCGGTGAGTTGAATGCAGACATCACAAAGGAGTTTCTGGGATTGCTTCTGTCTAGCTTTTATGGAAAGATATTTCCTTTTCTACCATAGGCCTCAAAGCGCTCTTAGTATACACTTCCAAATTCTACAAAGAGAGTGTTACTAAACCGCTCTCTCAAAGGAAATGTTAAACTCTGTGAGTTGAACACAGACATCACAAAGCAGTTTCTGAGAACACTTCTGTCTGCCTTTTATGTGAAGACATTCCCTTTTCCAAAGAATGCCTCCAAGGGCTCAAAATATCCACTTGTAGACTTTACAAAGAGAGTGTTTCAAAACTTCTCTACCAAAAGAAAGGTTAAAGACGGTGAGTTCAACGCACACATCACAAAGTTGTTTCTGAGAATGATTCTATCTATGTTTTCCATGAAGATGTTTCCTTTTGTATCATAGGCTTCAAAGTGGTCTAAATATCCACTTGGAAATCCTACAAGAACAGGGTTTCAAAACTTCTCTATCAAACGGAAGACTCCACTCTGTGAGATGAACGCACACATCACAATGAGGTTTCTGAAAATTCTTCTGTCTAGGGTTATAGGAAGAAATCCCGTTTCCAACGAAGGCCTCAAAGAGGTCCAAATATCCACTTGCAGTTTCTACAAAAAGAGTGTTTCAACACTGCTCTATAAAGAGGAAAGTTCCACTCTGTGAGTTGAATGTACACATCACAAAGTAGTTTCTGAGATTGCTTCTGTCTAGGTTTTAGGTGAAGTTATTTCCTTTTCTACTGTGGGCTTCAATGCGCTCTAAATATACACATGCAAATACTACAAAAAGAGTGTTTCAAAACTGCTCTATCAAAAGAAAAGTTTTACTCTGTGAGTTGAACGCACACATCGCAAAGCAGATTCTGAGAATTATTCTGTCTAGTTTTTATAGGAAGATGTTTCTTTTTCTGCCATAGGATCAATGCGCTATAAATATCCCCTTGGAAATCCTACAAAAACAGTGTTTCAAAACTGCTCTGTGAAAAGGGAGGTTTCACTCTTTGAATTGAATGCACACTTCACAAAGGAGTTTCTGAAAATTCTTCAATCTAGAGTTACATGAAGAAATCCCGTTTCCAAAGAAGGCCTCAAATAGGTCCAAATATCCACTTGCAGCTACTACAAGAAGGGTGTTTCAGAAACGCTCTATCAAAAGAAACGTTAAACTCTGTGAGTTGAACGCACACGTCACTAAGCACTTTCTGAGAACGATTCTATCTACTTTTTACATGAAGATGTTTCCTTTTCTAGCAGAGACTTCAAAGTGCTCTAAATATCCACTTGGGAATTCTACAAAAACGGTGTCTCAAAACTGCTCTATCAAAGGGAATGTTCCATTCTGTGAGTCGAATGCACACATCCGAAGAAGTTACTGAGAATTCTTCTCTGTAGGTTTAGATGAAGAAATCCCGTTTCCAACGAAGGCCTCTAGGAGGTCCAATTATCCACTTGCAGATTCTACAGAAAGAGTGTTTCAAAACTGCTCTATCAAGAGAAATGGTCCACCGTGTGTGTGGAATGCAGCCATCACACATTAGTTTCTGAGATTGCTTCTGTCTTGGTTTTATGGGGAGATATTTCCATTTCTAGCATAGGCTTCAAGGCGCTCTAAATATCCGCTTGGAAATACTACAAAAACAGTGTTTCAAAACTGCTGTATCCAAAGGGAAGGTGCCACTCGCTGAGTTGAATGCACACATCACAAGGGAAGTTTCTGAGAATTCTTCTGTCTAGATTCATACGAAGAAATCCCGTTTCCAACGAAGGCCTCAAAGAAGTCCAAATATCCCATTGCAAATTCTACAAAAGGAGTGTTTCCCAACTGCTCTATCAAGAGGAATGTTGCACTCTGTGACTTGAATGCAAACATCACACAGCAGTGTTTGAGAATTCTTCTGTCTAGAGTAACATGAAGAAATCCCGTTTCCAACGAAGGCCTCAAGGCGGTCCAATTATCCACTTGCAGATTCTACAGAAAGAGTGTTTCAAAACTGCTCTATCAAGAGAAATGTTCCACCGTGTGTGTGGAATGCAGCCATCACACAGTAGTTTCTGAGATTGCTTCCGTCTAGTTTTTATGGGAAGATATTTCCTTTTCTACCATAGGCTTCAAGGCGCTCTAATATCCGCTTGGAAATACTACAACCACAGCGTTTCAAACTGCTCTATCCAAAGGAAGGTTCCACTCTGTGACTTGAATGCACACAACCAAAGAAGTTTCGGAGAATTCTTCTGTCTGGATTTATACGAAGAAATCCCGTTTCCAACGAAGACCCAAAGGAGTTCTAAATATCCACTTGCAGATCCTTCAGAAAGAGGGTTTCAAAACTGCTCTATCAAGAGAAATGTTCAACTCTGTGAGTTGAATGCAGACATCACAAAGTCGTTTCTGAGATGGGTTCTGTGTAGGTTTTATGGGAAGATATTTCCTTTTCTACCATACGCTTCAAGGCGTTCCAAATATCCGCTTGGAAATACTACAAAAACAGTGTTTCAAAACTGCTCTATCAAAAGGAAGGATCCACACTGTGAGTTGAATTCACACATCACAAAGAAGTCTCTGAGAATTCTTCTGTCTGGGTTTATAGGAAGAAATCCCGTTTCCAACGAAGGCCTCAAAGCGGTCCATATATCCACTTGCAGATTCTACAGAAACAATGTTTCCAAACTGCTCTATCAAGAGGAATGTTGCACTCGGTGAGTTGAATGCACACATCACAAAGTAGTTTCTGAGATTGCTTCTGTCTACCTTTGATGGAAAGATATTCCCTTTTCTACCATAGGCCTGAAAGCGCTCTCAATGTACCCTTGCAAATTCTACAAAAAGAGTGTTTCCAAATTGCTCTATCAAGAGAAATCTTTATCTCGGTGAGTTGAAAGCACACATCACAAAGAAGACTCTGAGAATTCTCTGTCTGGGTTTATAAGATGAAAACCCGTTTCCAACGAAGGCCTCAAGGAGGTCCAAATACAAACAAGCTGATTCTACAGAAAGAGTGTTTCCAAACTGCTCTATCAAGAGGAATGTTCCACTCGGTGAGTTGAATGCAGACATCACAAAGGAGTTTCTGAGATTGCTTTCTGTCTAGCTTTTATGGAAAGATAATTCCTTTTCTACCATAGGCCTCAAAGCGCTCTTAGTATACACTTCCAAATTCTACAAAGAGAGTGTTACTAAACCGCTCTCTCAAAGGAAATGTTAAACTCTGTGAGTTGAACACAGACATCACAAAGCAGTTTCTGAGAACACTTCTGTCTGCCTTTTATGTGAAGACATTCCCTTTTCCAAAGAATGCCTCCAAGGGCTCAAAATATCCACTCGTAGACTTTACAAAGAGAGTGTTTCAAAACTTCTCTACCAAAAGAAAGGTTAAAGACGGTGAGTTCAACGCACACATCACAAAGTTGTTTCTGAGAATGATTCTATCTATGTTTTTCATGAAGATGTTTCCTTTTCTATCATAGGCTTCAAAGTGGTCTAAATATCCACTTGGAAATCCTACAAGAACACGGTTTCAAAACTTCTCTATCAAACGGAAGACTCCACTCTGTGAGATGAACGCACACATCACAATGAGGTTTCTGAAAATTCTTCTGTCTAGGGTTATAGGAAGAAATCCCGTTTCCAACGAAGGCCTCAAAGAAGGTCCAAATATCCACTTGCAGTTTCTACAAAAAGAGTGTTTCAACACTGCTCTATAAAGAGGAAAGTTCCACTCTGTGAGTTGAATGTACACATCACAAAGTAGTTTCTGAGATTGCTTCTGTCTAGGTTTTAGGTGAAGTTATTTCCTTTTCTACTGTGGGCTTCAATGCGCTCTAAATATACACATGCAAATACTACAAAAAGAGTGTTTCAAAACTGCTCTATCAAAAGAAAAGTTTTACTCTGTGGGTTGAACGCACACATCGCAAAGCAGATTCTGAGAATTATTCTGTCTAGTTTTTATAGGAAGATGTTTCTTTTTCTGCCATAGGCTCAATGCGCTATAAATATCCCCTTGGAAGTCCTACAAAAACAGTGTTTCAAAACTGCTCTGTGAAAAGGGAGGTTTCACTCTTTGAATTGAATGCACACATCACAAAGGAGTTTCTGAAAATTCTTCAATCTAGAGTTACATGAAGAAATCCCGTTTCCAAAGAAGGCCTCAAATAGGTCCAAATATCCACTTGCAGCTACTACAAGAAGGGTGTTTCAGAAACGCTCTATCAAAAGAAACGTTAAACTCTGTGAGTTGAACGCACACGTCACTAAGCACTTTCTGAGAACGATTCTATCTACTTTTTACATGAAGATGTTTCCTTTTCTAGCAGAGACTTCAAAGTGCTCTAAATATCCACTTGGGAATTCTACAAAAACGGTGTCTCAAAACTGCTCTATCAAAGGGAATGTTCCATTCTGTGAGTCGAATGCACACATCCGAAGAAGTTACTGAGAATTCTTCTCTGTAGGTTTAGATGAAGAAATCCCGTTTCCAACGAAGGCCTCTAGGAGGTCCAATTATCCACTTGCAGATTCTACAGAAAGAGTGTTTCAAAACTGCTCTATCAAGAGAAATGGTCCACCGTGTGTGTGGAATGCAGCCATCACACATTAGTTTCTGAGATTGCTTCTGTCTTGGTTTTATGGGGAGATATTTCCATTTCTAGCATAGGCTTCAAGGCGCTCTAAATATCCGCTTGGAAATACTACAAAAACAGTGTTTCAAAACTGCTGTATCCAAAGGAAGGTGCCACTCGCTGAGTTGAATGCACACATCACAAGGAAGTTTCTGAGAATTCTTCTGTCTAGATTCATACGAAGAAATCCCGTTTCCAACGAAGGCCTCAAAGAAGTCCAAATATCCCATTGCAAATTCTACAAAAGGAGTGTTTCCCAACTGCTCTATCAAGAGGAATGTTGCACTCTGTGACTTGAATGCAAACATCACATAGCAGTGTTTGAGAATTCTTCTGTCTAGAGTAACATGAAGAAATCCCGTTTCCAACGAAGGCCTCAAGGCGGTCCAATTATCCACTTGCAGATTCTACAGAAAGAGTGTTTCAAAACTGCTCTATCAAGAGAAATGTTCCACCGTGTGTGTGGAATGCAGCCATCACACAGTAGTTTCTGAGATTGCTTCCGTCTAGGTTTTATGGGAAGATATTTCCTTTTCTACCATAGGCTTCAAGGCGCTCTAATATCCGCTTGAAAATACTACAACCACAGCGTTTCAAACTGCTCTATCCAAAGGAAGGTTCCACTCTGTGACTTGAATGCACACAACCAAAGAAGTTTCGGAGAATTCTTCTCTCTGGATTTATACGAAGAAATCCCGTTTCCAACGAAGACCCAAAGGAGTTCCAAATATCCACTTGCAGATCCTTCAGAAAGAAGGTTTCAAAACTGCTCTATCAAGAGAAATGTTCAACTCTGTGAGTTGAATGCAGACATCACAAAGTCGTTTCTGAGATGGGTTCTGTCTAGGTTTTATGGGAAGATATTTCCTTTTCTACCATACGCTTCAAGGCGTTCCAAATATCCGCTTGGAAATACTACAAAAACAGTGTTTCAAAACTGCTCTATCAAAAGGAAGGATCCACACTTGTGAGTTGAATTCACACATCACAAAGAAATCTCTGAGAATTCTTCTGTCTGGGTTTATAGGAAGAAATCCCGTTTCCAACGAAGGCCTCAAAGAGGTCCAAATATCCACTTGCAGATTCTACAGAAACAATGTTTCCAAACTGCTCGGTCAAGAGGAATGTTGCACTCGGTGAGTTGAATGCACACATCACAAAGTAGTTTCTGAGATTGCTTCTGTCTACCTTTTATGGAAAGATATTCCCTTTTCTACCATAGGCCTGAAAGCGCTCTCAATGTACCCTTGCAAATTCTACAAAAAGAGTGTTTCCAAATTGCTCTATCAAGAGAAATCTTTATCTCGGTGAGTTGAAAGCACACATCACAAAGAAGACTCTGAGAATTCTTCTGTCTGGGTTTATAAGATGAAAACCCGTTTCCAACGAAGGCCTCAAGGAGGTCCAAATACAAACAAGCTGATTCTACAGAAAGAGTGTTTCCAAACTGCTCTATCAAGAGGAATGTTCCACTCGGTGAGTTGAATGCAGACATCACAAAGGAGTTTCTGAGATTGCTTCTGTCTAGCTTTTATGGAAAGATAATTCCTTTTCTACCATAGGCCTCAAAGCGCTCTTAGTATACACTTCCAAATTCTACAAAGAGAGTGTTACTAAACCGCTCTCTCAAAGGAAATGTTAAACTCTGTGAGTTGAACACAGACATCACAAAGCAGTTTCTGAGAACACTTCTGTCTGCCTTTTATGTGAAGACATTCCCTTTTCCAAAGAATGCCTCCAAGGGCTCAAAATATCCACTTGTAGACTTTACAAAGAGAGTGTTTCAAAACTTCTCTACCAAAAGAAAGGTTAAAGACGGTGAGTTCAACGCACACATCACAAAGTTGTTTCTGAGAATGATTCTATCTATGTTTTCCATGAAGATGTTTCCTTTTCTATCATAGGCTTCAAAGTGGTCTAAATATCCACTTGGAAATCCTACAAGAACAGGGTTTCAAAACTTCTCTATCAAACGGAAGACTCCACTCTGTGAGATGAACGCACACATCACAATGAGGTTTCTGAAAATTCTTCTGTCTAGGGTTATAGGAAGAAATCCCGTTTCCAACGAAGGCCTGAAAGAGGTCCAAATATCCACTTGCAGTTTCTACAAAAAGAGTGTTTCAACACTGCTCTATAAAGAGGAAAGTTCCACTCTGTGAGTTGAATGTACACATCACAAAGTAGTTTCTGAGATTGCTTCTGTCTAGGTTTTAGGTGAAGTTATTTCCTTTTCTACTGTGGGCTTCAATGCGCTCTAAATATACACATGCAAATACTACAAAAAGAGTGTTTCAAAACTGCTCTATCAAAAGAAAAGTTTTACTCTGTGAGTTGAACGCACACATCGCAAAGCAGATTCTGAGAATTATTCTGTCTAGTTTTTATAGGAAGATGTTTCTTTTTCTGCCGTAGGCTCAATGCGCTATAAATATCCCCTTGGAAATCCTACAAAAACAGTGTTTCAAAACTGCTCTGTGAAAAGGGAGGTTTCACTCTTTGAATTGAATGCACACATCACAAAGGAGTTTCTGAAAATTACTTCAAACTAGAGTTACATGAAGAAATCCCGTTTCCAAAGAAGGCCTCAAATAGGTCCAAATATCCACTTGCAGCTAGTACAAGAAGGGTGTTTCAGAAACGCTCTATCAAAAGAAACGTTAAACTCTGTGAGTTGAACGCACACGTCACTAAGCACTTTCTGAGAACGATTCTATCTACTTTTTACATGAAGATGTTTCCTTTTCTAGCAGAGACTTCAAAGTGCTCTAAATATCCACTTGGGAATTCTACAAAAACGGTGTCTCAAAACTGCTCTATCAAACGGAATGTTCCATTCTGTGAGTCGAATGCACACATCCGAAGAAGTTACTGAGAATTCTTCTCTGTAGGTTTAGATGAAGAAATCCCGTTTCCAACGAAGGCCTCTAGGAGGTCCAATTATCCACTTGCAGATTCTACAGAAAGAGTGTTTCAAAACTGCTCTATCAAGAGAAATGGTCCACCGTGTGTGTGGAATGCAGCCATCACACATTAGTTTCTGAGATTGCTTCTGTCTTGGTTTTATGGGGAGATATTTCCATTTCTAGCATAGGCTTCAAGGCGCTCTAAATATCCGCTTGGAAATAGTACAAAAACAGTGTTTCAAAACTGCTGTATCCAAAGGAAGGTGCCACTCGCTGAGTTGAATGCACACATCACAAGGAAGTTTCTGAGAATTCTTCTGTCTAGATTCATACGAAGAAATCCCGTTTCCAACGAAGGCCTCAAAGAAGTCCAAATATCCCATTGCAAATTCTACAAAAGGAGTGTTTGCCAACTGCTCTATCAAGAGGAATGTTGCACTCTGTGACTTGAATGCAAACATCACATAGCAGTGTTTGAGAATTCTTCTGTCTAGAGTAACATGAAGAAATCCCGTTTCCAACGAAGGCCTCAAGGCGGTCCAATTATCCACTTGCAGATTCTACAGAAAGAGTGTTTCAAAACTGCTCTATCAAGAGAAATGTTCCACCGTGTGTGTGGAATGCAGCCATCACACAGTAGTTTCTGAGATTGCTTCCGTCTAGGTTTTATGGGAAGATATTTCCTTTTCTACCATAGGCTTCAAGGCGCTCTAATATCCGCTTGGAAATACTACAACCACAGCGTTTCAAACTGCTCTATCCAAAGGAAGGTTCCACTCTGTGACTTGAATGCACACAACCAAAGAAGTTTCGGAGAATTCTTCTGTCTGGATTTATACGAAGAAATCCCGTTTCCAACGAAGACCCAAAGGAGTTCCAAATATCCACTTGCAGATCCTTCAGAAAGAGGGTTTCAAAATTGCTCTATCAAGAGAAATGTTCAACTCTGTGAGTTGAATGCAGACATCACAAAGTCGTTTCTGAGATTGGTTCTGTCTAGGTTTTATGGGAAGATATTTCCTTTTCTACCATACGCTTCAAGGCGTTCCAAATATCCGCTTGGAAATACTACAAAAACGGTGTTTCAAAACTGCTCTATCAAAAGGAAGGATCCACACTGTGAGTTGAATTCACACATCACAAAGAAATCTCTGAGAATTCTTCTGTCTGGGTTTATAGGAAGAAATCCCGTTTCCAACGAAGGCCTCAAAGCGGTCCATATATCCACTTGCAGATTCTACAGAAACAATGTTTCCAAACTGCTCTATCAAGAGGAATGTTGCACTCGGTGAGTTGAATGCACACATCACAAAGTAGTTTCTGAGATTGCTTCTGTCTACATTTTATGGAAAGATATTCCCTTTTCTACCATAGGACTGAAAGCGCTCTCAATGTACCCTTGCAAATTCTACAAAAAGAGTGTTTCCAAATTGCTCTATCAAGAGAAATCTTTATCTCGGTGAGTTGAAAGCACACATCACAAAGAAGACTCTGAGAATTCTTCTGTCTGGGTTTATAAGATGAAAACCCGTTTCCAACGAAGGCCTCAAGGAGGTCCAAATACAAACAAGCTGATTCTACAGAAAGAGTGTTTCCAAACTGCTCTATCAAGAGGAATGTTCCACTCGGTGAGTTGAATGCAGACATCACAAAGGAGTTTCTGAGATTGCTTCTGTCTAGCTTTTATGGAAGATATTTCCTTTTCTACCATAGGCCTCAAAGCGCTCTTAGTATACACTTCCAAATTCTACAAAGAGAGTGTTACTAAACCGCTCTCTCAAAGGAAATGTTAAACTCTGTGAGTTGAACACAGACATCACAAAGCAGTTTCTGAGAACACTTCTGTCTGCCTTTTATGTGAAGACATTCCCTTTTCCAAAGAATGCCTCCAAGGGCTCAAAATATCCACTTGTAGACTTTACAAAGAGAGTGTTTCAAAACTTCTCTACCAAAAGAAAGGTTAAAGACGGTGAGTTCAACGCACACATCACAAAGTTGTTTCTGAGAATGATTCTATCTATGTTTTCCCATGAAGATGTTTCCTTTTCTATCATAGGCTTCAAAGTGGTCTAAATATCCACTTGGAAATCCTACAAGAACAGGGTTTCAAAACTTCTCTATCAAACGGAAGACTCCACTCTGTGAGATGAACGCACACATCACAATGAGGTTTCTGAAAATTCTTCTGTCTAGGGTTATAGGAAGAAATCCCGTTTCCAACGAAGGCCTCAAAGAGGTCCAAATATCCACTTGCAGTTTCTACAAAAAGAGTGTTTCAACACTGCTCTATAAAGAGGAAAGTTCCACTCTGTGAGTTGAATGTACACATCACAAAGTAGTTTCTGAGATTGCTTCTGTCTAGGTTTTAGGTGAAGTTATTTCCTTTTCTACTGTGGGCTTCAATGCGCTCTAAATATACACATGCAAATACTACAAAAAGAGTGTTTCAAAACTGCTCTATCAAAAGAAAAGTTTTACTCTGTGAGTTGAACGCACACATCGCAAAGCAGATTCTGAGAATTATTCTGTCTAGTTTTTATAGGAAGATGTTTCTTTTTCTGCCGTAGGCTCAATGCGCTATAAATATCCCCTTGGAAATCCTACAAAAACAGTGTTTCAAAACTGCTCTGTGAAAAGGGAGGTTTCACTCTTTGAATTGAATGCACACATCACAAAGGAGTTTCTGAGAATTCTTCAATCTAGAGTTACATGAAGAAATCCCGTTTACAAAGAAGGCCTCAAATAGGTCCAAATATCCACTTGCAGCTACTACAAGAAGGGTGTTTCAGAAACGCTCTAACAAAAGAAACGTTAAACCCTGTGAGTGGAACACACACGTCACTAAGCACTTTCTGAGAACGATTCTATCTACTTTTTACATGAAGATGTTTCCTTTTCTAGCAGAGACTTCAAAGTGCTCTAAATATCCACTTGGGAATTCTACAAAAACGGTGTCTCAAAACTGCTCTATCAAAGGGAATGTTCCATTCTGTGAGTCGAATGCACACATCCGAAGAAGTTACTGAGAATTCTTCTCTGTAGGTTTAGATGAAGAAATCCCGTTTCCAACGAAGGCCTCTAGGAGGTCCAATTATCCACTTGCAGATTCTATAGAAAGAGTGTTTCAAAACTGCTCTATCAAGAGAAATGGTCCACCGTGTGTGTGGAATGCAGCCATCACACATTAGTTTCTGAGATTGCTTCTGTCTTGGTTTTATGGGGAGATATTTCCATTTCTAGCATAGGCTTCAAGGCGCTCTAAATATCCGCTTGGAAATACTACAAAAACAGTGTTTCAAAACTGCTGTATCCAAAGGAAGGTGCCACTCGCTGAGTTGAATGCACACATCACCAGGAAGTTTCTGAGAGTTCTTCTGTCTAGATTCATACGAAGAAATCCCGTTTCCAACGAAGGCCTCAAAGAAGTCCAAATATCCCATTGCAAATTCTACAACAGGAGTGTTTCCCAACTGCTCTATCAAGAGGAATGTTGCACTCTGTGACTTGCATGCAAACATCACATAGCAGTGTTTGAGAATTCTTCTGTCTAGAGTAACATGAAGAAATCCCGTTTCCAACGAAGGCCTCAAGGCGGTCCAATTATCCACTTGCAGATTCTACAGAAAGAGTGTTTCAAAACTGCTCTATCAAGAGAAATGTTCCACCGTGTGTGTGGAATGCAGCCATCACACAGTAGTTTCTGAGATTGCTTCCGTCTAGGTTTTATGGGAAGATATTTCCTTTTCTACCATAGGCCTCAAGGCGCTCTAATATCCGCTTGGAAATACTACAACCACAGCGTTTCAAACTGCTCTATCCAAAGGAAGGTTCCACTCTGTGACTTGAATGCACACAACCAAAGAAGTTTCGGAGAATTCTTCTGGCTCGATTTATACGAAGAAATCCCGTTTCCAAAGAAGACCCAAAGGAGTTCCAAATATCCACTTGCAGATCCTTCAGAAAGAGGGTTTCAAAACTGCTCTATCAAGAGAAATGTTCAACTCTGTGAGTTGAATGCAGACATCACAAAGTCGTTTCTGAGATTGGTTCTGTCTAGGTTTTATGGGAAGATATTTCCTTTTCTACCATACGCTTCAAGGCGTTCCAAATATCCGCTTGTAAATACTACCAAAACAGTGTTTCAAAACTGCTCTATCAAAAGGAAGGATCCACACTGTGAGTTGAATTCACACATCACAAAGAAGTCTCTGAGAATTCTTCTGTCTGGGTTTATAGGAAGAAATCCCGTTTCCAACGAAGGCCTCAAAGAGGTCCAAATATCCACTTGCAGATTCTACAGAAACAATGTTTCCAAACTGCTCGGTCAAGAGGAATGTTGCACTCGGTGAGTTGAATGCACACATCACAAAGTAGTTTCTGAGATTGCTTCTGTCTACCTTTTATGGAAAGATATTCCCTTTTCTACCATAGGCCTGAAAGCGCTCTCAATGTACCCTTGCAAATTCTACAAAAAGAGTGTTTCCAAATTGCTCTATCAAGAGAAATCTTTATCTCGGTGAGTTGAAAGCACACATCACAAAGAAGACTCTGAGAATTCTTCTGTCTGGGTTTATAAGATGAAAACCCGTTTCCAACGAAGGCCTCAAGGAGGTCCAAATACAAACAAGCTGATTCTACAGAAAGAGTGTTTCCAAACTGCTCTATCAAGAGGAATGTTCCACTCGGTGAGTTGAATGCAGACATCACAAAGGAGTTTCTGAGATTGCTTCTGTCTAGCTTTTATGGAAAGATATTTCCTTTTCTACCATAGGCCTCAAAGCGCTCTTAGTATACACTTCCAAATTCTACAAAGAGAGTGTTACTAAACCGCTCTCTCAAAGGAAATGTTAAACTCTGTGAGTTGAACACAGACATCACAAAGCAGTTTCTGAGAACACTTCTGTCTGCCTTTTATGTGAAGACATTCCCTTTTCCAAAGAATGCCTCCAAGGGCTCAAAATATCCACTTGTAGACTTTACAAAGAGAGTGTTTCAAAACTTCTCTACCAAAAGAAAGGTTAAAGACGGTGAGTTCAACGCACACATCACAAAGTTGTTTCTGAGAATGATTCTATCTATGTTTTCCATGAAGATGTTTCCTTTTCTATCATAGGCTTCAAAGTGGTCTAAATATCCACTTGGAAATCCTACAAGAACAGGGTTTCAAAACTTCTCTATCAAACGGAAGACTCCACTCTGTGAGATGAACGCACACATCACAATGAGGTTTCTGAAAATTCTTCTGTCTAGGGTTATAGGAAGAAATCCCGTTTCCAACGAAGGCCTCAAAGAGGTCCAAATATCCACTTGCAGTTTCTACAAAAAGAGTGTTTCAACACTGCTCTATAAAGAGGAAAGTTCCACTCGGTGAGTTGAATGTACACATCACAAAGTAGTTTCTGAGATTGCTTCTGTCTAGGTTTTAGGTGAAGTTATTTCCTTTTCTACTGTGGGCTTCAATGCGCTCTAAATATACACATGCAAATACTACAAAAAGAGTGTTTCAAAACTGCTCTATCAAAAGAAAAGTTTTACTCTGTGGGTTGAACGCACACATCGCAAAGCAGATTCTGAGAATTATTCTGTCTAGTTTTTATAGGAAGATGTTTCTTTTTCTGCCGTAGGCTCAATGCGCTATAAATATCCCCTTGGAAATCCTACAAAAACAGTGTTTCAAAACTGCTCTGTGAAAAGGGAGGTTTCACTCTTTGAATTGAATGCACACATCACAAAGGAGTTTCTGAAAATTCTTCAAACTAGAGTTACATGAAGAAATCCCGTTTCCAAAGAAGGCCTCAAATAGGTCCAAATATCCACTTGCAGCTACTACAAGAAGGGTGTTTCAGAAACGCTCTATCAAAAGAAACGTTAAACTCTGTGAGTTGAACACACACGTCACTAAGCACTTTCTGAGAACGATTCTATCTACTTTTTACATGAAGATGTTTCCTTTTCTAGCAGAGACTTCAAAGTGCTCTAAATATCCACTTGGGAATTCTACAAAAACGGTGTCTCAAAACTGCTCTATCAAAGGGAATGTTCCATTCTGTTAGTCGAATGCACACATCCGAAGAAGTTACTGAGAATTCTTCTCTGTAGGTTTAGATGAAGAAATCCCGTTTCCAACGAAGGCCTCTAGGAGGTCCAATTATCCACTTGCAGATTCTACAGAAAGAGTGTTTCAAAACTGCTCTATCAAGAGAAATGGTCCACCGTGTGTGTGGAATGCAGCCATCACACATTAGTTTCTGAGATTGCTTCTGTCTTGGTTTTATGGGGAGATATTTCCATTTCTAGCATAGGCTTCAAGGCGCTCTAAATATCCGCTTGGAAATAGTACAAAAACAGTGTTTCAAAACTGCTGTATCCAAAGGAAGGTGCCACTCGCTGAGTTGAATGCACACATCACAAGGAAGTTTCTGAGAATTCTTCTGTCTAGATTCATACGAAGAAATCCCGTTTCCAACGAAGGCCTCAAAGAAGTCCAAATATCCCATTGCAAATTCTACAAAAGGAGTGTTTCCCAACTGCTCTATCAAGAGGAATGTTGCACTCTGTGACTTGAATGCAAACATCACATAGCAGTGTTTGAGAATTCTTCTGTCTAGAGTAACATGAAGAAATCCCGTTTCCAACGAAGGCCTCAAGGCGGTCCAATTATCCACTTGCAGATTCTACAGAAAGAGTGTTTCAAAACTGCTCTATCAAGAGAAATGTTCCACCGTGTGTGTGGAATGCAGCCATCACACAGTAGTTTCTGAGATTGCTTCCGTCTAGGTTTTATGGGAAGATATTTCCTTTTCTACCATAGGCCTCAAGGCGCTCTAATATCCGCTTGGAAATACTACAACCACAGCGTTTCAAACTGCTCTATCCAAAGGGAAGGTTCCACTCTGTGACTTGAATGCACACAACCAAAGAAGTTTCGGAGAATTCTTCTGTCTCGATTTATATGAAGAGATCCCGTTTCCAACGAAGACCCAAAGGAGTTCCAAATATCCACTTGCAGATCCTTCAGAAAGAGGGTTTCAAAACTGCTCTATCAAGAGAAATGTTCAACTCTGTGAGTTGAATGCAGACATCACAAAGTCGTTTCTGAGATTGGTTCTGTCTAGGTTTTATGGGAAGATATTTCCTTTTCTACCATACGCTTCAAGGCGTTCCAAATATCCGCTTGTAAATACTACCAAAACAGTGTTTCAAAACTGCTCTATCAAAAGGGAAGGATCCACACTGTGAGTTGAATTCACACATCACAAAGAAGTCTCTGAGAATTCTTCTGTCTGGGTTTATAGGAAGAAATCCCGTTTCCAACGAAGGCCTCAAAGCGGTCCATATATCCACTTGCAGATTCTACAGAAACAATGTTTCCAAACTGCTCTATCAAGAGGAATGTTGCACTCGGTGAGTTGAATGCACACATCAGAAAGTAGTTTCTGAGATTGCTTCTGTCTACCTTTTCTACCATAGGCCTGAAAGCGCTCTCAATGTACCCTTGCAAATTCTACAAAAAGAGTGTTTCCAAATTGCTCTATCAAGAGAAATCTTTATCTCGGTGAGTTGAAAGCACACATCACAAAGAAGACTCTGAGAATTCTTCTGTCTGGGTTTATAAGATGAAAACCCGTTTCCAACGAAGGCCTCAAGGAGGTCCAAATACAAACAAGCTGATTCTACAGAAAGAGTGTTTCCAAACTGCTCTATCAAGAGGAATGTTCCACTCGGTGAGTTGAATGCAGACATCACAAAGGAGTTTCTGAGATTGCTTCTGTCTAGCTTTTATGGAAAGATATTTCCTTTTCTACCATAGGCCTCAAAGCGCTCTTAGTATACACTTCCAAATTCTACAAAGAGAGTGTTACTAAACCGCTCTCTCAAAGGAAATGTTAAACTCTGTGAGTTGAACACAGACATCACAAAGCAGTTTCTGAGAACACTTCTGTCTGCCTTTTATGTGAAGACATTCCCTTTTCCAAAGAATGCCTCCAAGGGCTCAAAATATCCACTTGTAGACTTTACAAAGAGAGTGTTTCAAAACTTCTCTACCAAAAGAAAGGTTAAAGACGGTGAGTTCAACGCACACATCACAAAGTTGTTTCTGAGAATGATTCTATCTATGTTTTCCATGAAGATGTTTCCTTTTCTATCATAGGCTTCAAAGTGGTCTAAATATCCACTTGGAAATCCTACAAGAACAGGGTTTCAAAACTTCTCTATCAAACGGAAGACTCCACTCTGTGAGATGAACGCACACATCACAATGAGGTTTCTGAAAATTCTTCTGTCTAGGGTTATAGGAAGAAATCCCGTTTCCAACGAAGGCCTCAAAGAGGTCCAAATATCCACTTGCAGTTTCTACAAAAAGAGTGTTTCAACACTGCTCTATAAAGAGAAAAGTTCCACTCTGTGAGTTGAATGTACACATCACAAAGTAGTTTCTGAGATTGCTTCTGTCTAGGTTTTAGGTGAAGTTATTTCCTTTTCTACTGTGGGCTTCAATGCGCCCTAAATATACACATGCAAATACTACAAAAAGAGTGTTTCAAAACTGCTCTATCAAAAGAAAAGTTTTACTCTGTGAGTTGAACGCACACATCGCAAAGCAGATTCTGATAATTATTCTGTCTAGTTTTTATAGGAAGATGTTTCTTTTTCTGCCATAGGCTCAATGCGCTATAAATATCCCCTTGGAAATCCTACAAAAACAGTGTTTCAAAACTGCTCTGTGAAAAGGGAGGTTTCACTCTTTGAATTGAATGCACACTTCACAAAGGAGTTTCTGAAAATTCTTCAATCTAGAGTTACATGAAGAAATCCCGTTTCCAAAGAAGGCCTCAAATAGGTCCAAATATCCACTTGCAGCTACTACAAGAAGGGTGTTTCAGAAACGCTCTATCAAAAGAAACGTTAAACTCTGTGAGTTGAACGCACACGTCACTAAGCACTTTCTGAGAACGATTCTATCTACTTTTTACATGAAGATGTTTCCTTTTCTAGCAGAGACTTCAAAGTGCTCTAAATATCCACTTGGGAATTCTACAAAAACGGTGTCTCAAACCTGCTCCATCAAAGGGAATGTTCCATTCTGTGAGTCGAATGCACACATCCGAAGAAGTTACTGAGAATTCTTCTCTGTAGGTTTAGATGAAGAAATCCCGTTTCCAACGAAGGCCTCTAGGAGGTCCAATTATCCACTTGCAGATTCTACAGAAAGAGTGTTTCAAAACTGCTCTATCAAGAGAAATGGTCCACCGTGTGTGTGGAATGCAGCCATCACACATTAGTTTCTGAGATTGCTTCTGTCTTGGTTTTATGGGGAGATATTTCCATTTCTAGCATAGGCTTCAAGGCGCTCTAAATATCCGCTTGGAAATACTACAAAAACAGTGTTTCAAAACTGCTGTATCCAAAGGAAGGTGCCACTCGCTGAGTTGAATGCACACATCACAAGGAAGTTTCTGAGAATTCTTCTGTCTAGATTCATACGAAGAAATCCCGTTTCCAACGAAGGCCTCAAAGAAGTCCAAATATCCCATTGCAAATTCTACAAAAGGAGTGTTTCCCAACTGCTCTATCAAGAGGAATGTTGCACTCTGTGACTTGCATGCAAACATCACACAGCAGTGTTTGAGAATTCTTCTGTCTAGAGTAACATGAAGAAATCCCGTTTCCAACGAAGGCCTCAAGGCGGTCCAATTATCCACTTGCAGATTCTACAGAAAGAGTGTTTCAAAACTGCTCTATCAAGAGAAATGTTCCACCGTGTGTGTGGAATGCAGCCATCACACAGTAGTTTCTGAGATTGCTTCCGTCTAGGTTTTATGGGAAGATATTTCCTTTTCTACCATAGGCCTCAAGGCGCTCTAATATCCGCTTGGAAATACTACAACCACAGCGTTTCAAACTGCTCTATCCAAAGGAAGGTTCCACTCTGTGACTTGAATGCACACAACCAAAGAAGTTTCGGAGAATTCTTCTGTCTGGATTTATACGAAGAAATCCCGTTTCCAACGAAGACCCAAAGGAGTTCCAAATATCCACTTGCAGATCCTTCAGAAAGAGGGTTTCAAAACTGCTCTATCAAGAGAAATGTTCAACTCTGTGAGTTGAATGCAGACATCACAAAGTCGTTTCTGAGATGGGTTCTGTCTAGGTTTTATGAGAAGATATTTCCTTTTCTACCATACGCTTCAAGGCGTTCCAAATATCCGCTTGGAAATACTACAAAAACAGTGTTTCAAAACTGCTCTATCAAAAGGAAGGATCCACACTGTGAGTTGAATTCACACATCACAAAGAAATCTCTGAGAATTCTTCTGTCTGGGTTTATAGGAAGAAATCCCGTTTCCAACGAAGGCCTCAAAGCGGTCCATATATCCACTTGCAGATTCTACAGAAACAATGTTTCCAAACTGCTCGGTCAAGAGGAATGTTGCACTCGGTGAGTTGAATGCACACATCACAAAGTAGTTTCTGAGATTGCTTCTGTCTACCTTTTATGGAAAGATATTCCCTTTTCTACCATAGGCCTGAAAGCGCTCTCAATGTACCCTTGCAAATTCTACAAAAAGAGTGTTTCCAAATTGCTCTATCAAGAGAAATCTTTATCTCGGTGAGTTGAAAGCACACATCACAAAGAAGACTCTGAGAATTCTTCTGTCTGGGTTTATAAGATGAAAACCCGTTTCCAACGAAGGCCTCAAGGAGGTCCAAATACAAACAAGCTGATTCTACAGAAAGAGTGTTTCCAAACTGCTCTATCAAGAGGAATGTTCCACTCGGTGAGTTGAATGCAGACATCACAAAGGAGTTTCTGAGATTGCTTCTGTCTAGCTTTTATGGAAAGATATTTCCTTTTCTACCATAGGCCTCAAAGCGCTCTTAGTATACACTTCCAAATTCTACAAAGAGAGTGTTACTAAACCGCTCTCTCAAAGGAAATGTTAAACTCTGTGAGTTGAACACAGACATCACAAAGCAGTTTCTGAGAACACTTCTGTCTGCCTTTTATGTGAAGACATTCCCTTTTCCAAAGAATGCCTCCAAGGGCTCAAAATATCCACTTGTAGACTTTACAAAGAGAGTGTTTCAAAACTTCTCTACCAAAAGAAAGGTTAAAGACTGTGAGTTCAACGCACACATCACAAAGTTGTTTCTGAGAATGATTCTATCTATGTTTTCCATGAAGATGTTTCCTTTTCTATCATAGGCTTCAAAGTGGTCTAAATATCCACTTGGAAATCCTACAAGAACAGGGTTTCAAAACTTCTCTATCAAACGGAAGACTCCACTCTGTGAGATGAACGCACACATGACAATGAGGTTTCTGAAAATTCTTCTGTCTAGGGTTATAGGAAGAAATCCCGTTTCCAACGAAGGCCTCAAAGAGGTCCAAATATCCACTTGCAGTTTCTACAAAAAGAGTGTTTCAACACTGCTCTATAAAGAGGAAAGTTCCACTCTGTGAGTTGAATGTACACATCACAAAGTAGTTTCTGAGATTGCTTCTGTCTAGGTTTTAGGTGAAGTTATTTCCTTTTCTACTGTGAGCTTCAATGCGCTCTAAATATACACATGCAAATACTACAAAAAGAGTGTTTCAAAACTGCTCTATCAAAAGAAAACTTTTACTCTGTGGGTTGAACGCACACATCGCAAAGCAGATTCTGAGAATTATTCTGTCTAGTTTTTATACGAAGATGTTTCTTTTTCTGCCATAGGCTCAATGCGCTATAAATATCCCCTTGGAAATCCTACAAAAACAGTGTTTCAAAACTGCTCTATGAAAAGGGAGGTTTCACTCTTTGAATTGAATGCACACATCACAAAGGAGTTTCTGAAAATTCTTCAATCTAGAGTTACATGAAGAAATCCCGTTTCCAAAGAAGGCCTCAAATAGGTCCAAATATCCACTTGCAGCTACTACAAGCAGGGTGTTTCAGAAACGCTCTATCAAAAGAAACGTTAAACTCTGTGAGTTGAACACACACGTCACTAAGCACTTTCTGAGAACGATTCTATCTACTTTTTACATGAAGATGTTTCCTTTTCTAGCAGAGACTTCAAAGTGCTCTAAATATCCACTTGGGAATTCTACAAAAACGGTGTCTCAAAACTGCTCTATCAAAGGGAATGTTCCATTCTGTGAGTCGAATGCACACATCCGAAGAAGTTACTGAGAATTCTTCTCTGTAGGTTTAGATGAAGAAATCCCGTTTCCAACGAAGGCCTCTAGGAGGTCCAATTATCCACTTGCAGATTCTACAGAAAGAGTGTTTCAAAACTGCTCTATCAAGAGAAATGGTCCACCGTGTGTGTGGAATGCAGCCATCACACATTAGTTTCTGAGATTGCTTCTGTCTTGGTTTTATGGGGAGATATTTCCATTTCTAGCATAGGCTTCAAGGCGCTCTAAATATCCGCTTGGAAATACTACAAAAACAGTGTTTCAAAACTGCTGTATCCAAAGGAAGGTGCCACTCGCTGAGTTGAATGCACACATCACAAGGAAGTTTCTGAGAATTCTTCTGTCTAGATTCATACGAAGAAATCCCGTTTCCAACGAAGGCCTCAAAGAAGTCCAAATATCCCATTGCAAATTCTACAAAAGGAGTGTTTCCCAACTGCTCTATCAAGAGGAATGTTGCACTCTGTGACTTGCATGCAAACATCACACAGCAGTGTTTGAGAATTCTTCTGTCTAGAGTAACATGAAGAAATCCCGTTTCCAACGAAGGCCTCAAGGCGGTCCAATTATCCACTTGCAGATTCTACAGAAAGAGTGTTTCAAAACTGCTCTATCAAGAGAAATGTTCCACCGTGTGTGTGGAATGCAGCCATCACACAGTAGTTTCTGAGATTGCTTCCGTCTAGGTTTTATGGGAAGATATTTCCTTTTCTACCATAGGCCTCAAGGCGCTCTAATATCCGCTTGGAAATACTACAACCACAGCGTTTCAAACTGCTCTATCCAAAGGAAGGTTCCACTCTGTGACTTGAATGCACACAACCAAAGAAGTTTCGGAGAATTCTTCTGTCTGGATTTATACGAAGAAATCCCGTTTCCAACGAAGACCCAAAGGAGTTCCAAATATCCACTTGCAGATCCTTCAGAAAGAGGGTTTCAAAACTGCTCTATCAAGAGAAATGTTCAACTCTGTGAGTTGAATGCAGACATCACAAAGTCGTTTCTGAGATGGGTTCTGTCTAGGTTTTATGGGAAGATATTTCCTTTTCTACCATACGCTTCAAGGCGTTCCAAATATCCGCTTGGAAATACTACAAAAACAGTGTTTCAAAACTGCTCTATCAAAAGGAAGGGATCCACACTGTGAGTTGAATTCACACATCACAAAGAAATCTCTGAGAATTCTTCTGTCTGGGTTTATAGGAAGAAATCCCGTTTCCAACGAAGGCCTCAAAGCGGTCCATATATCCACTTGCAGATTCTACAAAAACAATGTTTCCAAACTGCTCTATCAAGAGGAATGTTGCACTCGGTGAGTTGAATGCACACATCACAAAGTAGTTTCTGAGATTGCTTCTGTCTACCTTTTATGGAAAGATATTCCCTTTTCTACCATAGGCCTGAAAGCGCTCTCAATGTACCCTTGCAAATTCTACAAAAAGAGTGTTTCCAAATTGCTCTATCAAGAGAAATCTTTATCTCGGTGAGTTGAAAGCACACATCACAAAGAAGACTCTGAGAATTCTTCTGTCTGGGTTTATAAGATGAAAACCCGTTTCCAACGAAGGCCTCAAGGAGGTCCAAATACAAACAAGCTGATTCTACAGAAAGAGTGTTTCCAAACTGCTCTATCAAGAGGAATGTTCCACTCGGTGAGTTGAATGCAGACATCACAAAGGAGTTTCTGAGATTGCTTCTGTCTAGCTTTTATGGAAAGATATTTCCTTTTCTACCATAGGCCTCAAAGCGCTCTTAGTATACACTTCCAAATTCTACAAAGAGAGTGTTACTAAACCGCTCTCTCAAAGGAAATGTTAAACTCTGTGAGTTGAACACAGACATCACAAAGCAGTTTCTGAGAACACTTCTGTCTGCCTTTTATGTGAAGACATTCCCTTTTCCAAAGAATGCCTCCAAGGGCTCAAAATATCCACTTGTAGACTTTACAAAGAGAGTGTTTCAAAACTTCTCTACCAAAAGAAAGGTTAAAGACGGTGAGTTCAACGCACACATCACAAAGTTGTTTCTGAGAATGATTCTATCTATGTTTTCCATGAAGATGTTTCCTTTTCTATCATAGGCTTCAAAGTGGTCTAAATATCCACTTGGAAATCCTACAAGAACAGGGTTTCAAAACTTCTCTATCAAACGGAAGACTCCACTCTGTGAGATGAACGCACACATCACAATGAGGTTTCTGAAAATTCTTCTGTCTAGGGTTATAGGAAGAAATCCCGTTTCCAACGAAGGCCTCAAAGAGGTCCAAATATCCACTTGCAGTTTCTACAAAAAGAGTGTTTCAACACTGCTCTATAAAGAGGAAAGTTCCACTCTGTGAGTTGAATGTACACATCACAAAGTAGTTTCTGAGATTGCTTCTGTCTAGGTTTTAGGTGAAGTTATTTCCTTTTCTACTGTGGGCTTCAATGCGCTCTAAATATACACATGCAAATACTACAAAAAGAGTGTTTCAAAACTGCTCTGTCAAAAGAAAAGTTTTACTCTGTGGGTTGAACGCACACATCGCAAAGCAGATTCTGAGAATTATTCTGTCTAGTTTTTATAGGAAGATGTTTCTTTTTCTGCCGTATGCTCAATGCGCTATAAATATCCCCTTGGAAATCCTACAAAAACAGTGTTTCAAAACTGCTCTGTGAAAAGGGAGGTTTCACTCTTTGAATTGAATGCACACATCACAAAGGAGTTTCTGAAAATTCTTCAATCTAGAGTTACATGAAGAAATCCCGTTTCCAAAGAAGGCCTCAAATAGGTCCAAATATCCACTTGCAGCTACTACAAGAAGGGTGTTTCAGAAACGCTCTATCAAAAGAAACGTTAAACTCTTGTGAGTTGAACGCACACGTCACTAAGCACTTTCTGAGAACGATTCTATCTACTTTTTACATGAAGATGTTTCCTTTTCTAGCAGAGACTTCAAAGTGCTCTAAATATCCACTTGGGAATTCTACAAAAACGGTGTCTCAAAACTGCTCTATCAAAGGGAATGTTCCATTCTGTGAGTCGAATGCACACATCCGAAGAAGTTACTGAGAATTCTTCTCTGTAGGTTTAGATGAAGAAATCCCGTTTCCAACGAAGGCCTCTAGGAGGTCCAATTATCCACTTGCAGATTCTACAGAAAGAGTGTTTCAAAACTGCTCTATCAAGAGAAATGGTCCACCGTGTGTGTGGAATGCAGCCATCACACATTAGTTTCCTGAGATTGCTTCTGTCTTGGTTTTATGGGGAGATATTTCCATTTCTAGCATAGGCTTCAAGGCGCTCTAAATATCCGCTTGGAAATACTACAAAAACAGTGTTTCAAAACTGCTGTATCCAAAGTAAGGTGCCACTCGCTGAGTTGAATGCACACATCACAAGGAAGTTTCTGAGAATTCTTCTGTCTAGATTCATACGAAGAAATCCCGTTTCCAACGAAGGCCTCAAAGAAGTCCAAATATCCCATTGCAAATTCTACAAAAGGAGTGTTTCCCAACTGCTCTATCAAGAGGAATGTTGCACTCTGTGACTTGAATGCAAACATCACATAGCAGTGTTTGAGAATTCTTCTATCTAGAGTAACATGAAGAAATCCCGTTTCCAACGAAGGCCTCAAGGCGGTCCAATTATCCACTTGCAGATTCTACAGAAAGAGTGTTTCAAAACTGCTCTATCAAGAGAAATGTTCCACCGTGTGTGTGGAATGCAGCCATCACACAGTAGTTTCTGAGATTGCTTCCGTCTAGGTTTTATGGGAAGATATTTCCTTTTCTACCATAGGCCTCAAGGCGCTCTAATATCCGCTTGGAAATACTACAACCACAGCGTTTCAAACTGCTCTATCCAAAGGAAGGTTCCACTCTGTGACTTGAATGCACACAACCAAAGAAGTTTCGGAGAATTCTTCTGTCTAGATTTATACGAAGAAATCCCGTTTCCAACGAAGACCCAAAGGAGTTCCAAATATCCACTTGCAGATCCTTCAGAAAGAGGGTTTCAAAACTGCTCTATCAAGAGAAATGTTCAACTCTGTGAGTTGAATGCAGACATCACAAAGTCGTTTCTGAGATTGGTTCTGTCTAGGTTTTATGGGAAGATATTTCCTTTTCTACCATACGCTTCAAGGCGTTCCAAATATCCGCTTGGAAATACTACAAAAACAGTGTTTCAAAACTGCTCTATCAAAAGGAAGGATCCACACTGTGAGTTGAATTCACACATCACAAAGAAGTCTCTGAGAATTCTTCTGTCTGGGTTTATAGGAAGAAATCCCGTTTCCAACGAAGGCCTCAAAGAGGTCCAAATATCCACTTGCAGATTCTACAGAAACAATGTTTCCAAACTGCTCGGTCAAGAGGAATGTTGCACTCGGTGAGTTGAATGCACACATCACAAAGTAGTTTCTGAGATTGCTTCTGTCTACCTTTTATGGAAAGATATTCCCTTTTCTACCATAGGCCTGAAAGCGCTCTCAATGTACCCTTGCAAATTCTACAAAAAGAGTGTTTCCAAATTGCTCTATCAAGAGAAATCTTTATCTCGGTGAGTTGAAAGCACACATCACAAAGAAGACTCTGAGAATTCTTCTGTCTGGGTTTATAAGATGAAAACCCGTTTCCAACGAAGGCCTCAAGGAGGTCCAAATACAAACAAGCTGATTCTACAGAAAGAGTGTTTCCAAACTGCTCTATCAAGAGGAATGTTCCACTCGGTGAGTTGAATGCAGACATCACAAAGGAGTTTCTGAGATTGCTTCTGTCTAGCTTTTATGGAAAGATATTTCCTTTTCTACCATAGGCCTCAAAGCGCTCTTAGTATACACTTCCAAATTCTACAAAGAGAGTGTTACTAAACCGCTCTCTCAAAGGAAATGTTAAACTCTGTGAGTTGAACACAGACATCACAAAGCAGTTTCTGAGAACACTTCTGTCTGCCTTTTATGTGAAGACATTCCCTTTTCCAAAGAATGCCTCCAAGGGCTCAAAATATCCACTTGTAGACTTTACAAAGAGAGTGTTTCAAAACTTCTCTACCAAAAGAAAGGTTAAAGACGGTGAGTTCAACGCACACATCACAAAGTTGTTTCTGAGAATGATTCTATCTATGTTTTCCATGAAGATGTTTCCTTTTCTATCATAGGCTTCAAAGTGGTCTAAATATCCACTTGGAAATCCTACAAGAACAGGGTTTCAAAACTTCTCTATCAAACGGAAGACTCCACTCTGTGAGATGAACGCACACATCACAATGAGGTTTCTGAAAATTCTTCTGTCTAGGGTTATAGGAAGAAATCCCGTTTCCAACGAAGGCCTCAAAGAGGTCCAAATATCCACTTGCAGTTTCTACAAAAAGAGTGTTTCAACACTGCTCTATAAAGAGAAAAGTTCCACTCTGTGAGTTGAATGTACACATCACAAAGTAGTTTCTGAGATTGCTTCTGTCTAGGTTTTAGGTGAAGTTATTTCCTTTTCTACTGTGGGCTTCAATGCGCTCTAAATATACACATGCAAATACTACAAAAAGAGTGTTTCAAAACTGCTCTATCAAAAGAAAAGTTTTACTCTGTGAGTTGAACGCACACATCGCAAAGCAGATTCTGATAATTATTCTGTCTAGTTTTTATAGGAAGATGTTTCTTTTTCTGCCATAGGCTCAATGCGCTATAAATATCCCCTTGGAAATCCTACAAAAACAGTGTTTCAAAACTGCTCTGTGAAAAGGGAGGTTTCACTCTTTGAATTGAATGCACACATCACAAAGGAGTTTCTGAAAATTCTTCAATCTAGAGTTACATGAAGAAATCCCGTTTCCAAAGAAGGCCTCAAATAGGTCCAAATATCCACTTGCAGCTACTACAAGAAGGGTGTTTCAGAAACGCTCTATCAAAAGAAACGTTAAACTCTGTGAGTTGAACGCACACGTCACTAAGCACTTTCTGAGAACGATTCTATCTACTTTTTACATGAAGATGTTTCCTTTTCTAGCAGAGACTTCAAAGTGCTCTAAATATCCACTTGGGAATTCTACAAAAACGGTGTCTCAAAACTGCTCTACCAAAGGGAATGTTCCATTCTGTGAGTCGAATGCACACATCCGAAGAAGTTACTGAGAATTCTTCTCTGTAGGTTTAGATGAAGAAATCCCGTTTCCAACGAAGGCCTCTAGGAGGTCCAATTATCCACTTGCAGATTCTACAGAAAGAGTGTTTCAAAACTGCTCTATCAAGAGAAATGGTCCACCGTGTGTGTGGAATGCAGCCATCACACATTAGTTTCTGAGATTGCTTCTGTCTTGGTTTTATGGGGAGATATTTCCATTTCTAGCATAGGCTTCAAGGCGCTCTAAATATCCGCTTGGAAATACTACAAAAACAGTGTTTCAAAACTGCTGTATCCAAAGGAAGGTGCCACTCGCTGAGTTGAATGCACACATCACAAGGAAGTTTCTGAGAATTCTTCTGTCTAGATTCATACGAAGAAATCCCGTTTCCAACGAAGGCCTCAAAGAAGTCCAAATATCCCATTGCAGATTCTACAAAAGGAGTGTTTCCCAACTGCTCTATCAAGAGGAATGTGGCACTCTGTGACTTGAATGCAAACATCACAGAGTAGTGTTTGCGAATTCTTCTATCTAGAGTAACATGAAGAAATCCCGTTTCCAATGAAGGCCTCAAGGCGGTCCAATTATCCACTTGCAGATTCTACAGAAAGAGTGTTTCAAAACTGCTCTATCAAGAGAAATGTTCCACCGTGTGTGTGGAATGCAGCCATCACACAGTAGTTTCTGAGATTGCTTCCGTCTAGGTTTTATGGGAAGATATTTCCTTTTCTACCATAGGCCTCAAGGCGCTCTAATATCCGCTTGGAAATACTACAACCACAGCGTTTCAAACTGCTCTATCCAAAGGAAGGTTCCACTCTGTGACTTGAATGCACACAACCAAAGAAGTTTCGGAGAATTCTTCTGTCTGGATTTATACGAAGAAATCCCGTTTCCAACGAAGACCCAAAGGAGTTCCAGATATCCACTTGCAGATCCTTCAGAAAGAGGGTTTCAAAACTGCTCTATCAAGAGAAATGTTCAACTCTGTGAGTTGAATGCAGACATCACAAAGTCGTTTCTGAGATGGGTTCTGTCTAGGTTTTATGGGAAGATATTTCCTTTTCTACCATACGCTTCAAGGCGTTCCAAATATCCGCTTGGAAATACTACAAAAACAGTGTTTCAAAACTGCTCTATCAAAAGGAAGGATCCACACTGTGAGTTGAATTCACACATCACAAAGAAATCTCTGAGAATTCTTCTGTCTGGGTTTATAGGAAGAAATCCCGTTTCCAACGAAGGCCTCAAAGCGGTCCATATATCCACTTGCAGATTCTACAGAAACAATGTTTCCAAACTGCTCGGTCAAGAGGAATGTTGCACTCGGTGAGTTGAATGCACACATCACAAAGTAGTTTCTGAGATTGCTTCTGTCTACCTTTTATTGAAAGATATTCCCTTTTCTACCATAGGCCTGAAAGCGCTCTCAATGTACCCTTGCAAATTCTACAAAAAGAGTGTTTCCAAATTGCTCTATCAAGAGAAATCTTTATCTCGGTGAGTTGAAAGCACACATCACAAAGAAGACTCTGAGAATTCTTCTGTCTGGGTTTATAAGATGAAAACCCGTTTCCAACGAAGGCCTCAAGGAGGTCCAAATACAAACAAGCTGATTCTACAGAAAGAGTGTTTCCAAACTGCTCTATCAAGAGGAATGTTCCACTCGGTGAGTTGAATGCAGACATCACAAAGGAGTTTCTGAGATTGCTTCTGTCTAGCTTTTATGGAAAGATATTTCCTTTTCTACCATAGGCCTCAAAGCGCTCTTAGTATACACTTCCAAATTCTACAAAGAGAGTGTTACTAAACCGCTCTCTCAAAGGAAATGTTAAACTCTGTGAGTTGAACACAGACATCACAAAGCAGTTTCTGAGAACACTTCTGTCTGCCTTTTATGTGAAGACATTCCCTTTTCCAAAGAATGCCTCCAAGGGCCCAAAATATCCACTTGTAGACTTTACAAAGAGAGTGTTTCAAAACTTCTCTACCAAAAGAAAGGTTAAAGACTGTGAGTTCAACGCACACATCACAAAGTTGTTTCTGAGAATGATTCTATCTATGTTTTCCATGAAGATGTTTCCTTTTCTATCATAGGCTTCAAAGTGGTCTAAATATCCACTTGGAAATCCTACAAGAACAGGGTTTCAAAACTTCTCTATCAAACGGAAGACTCCACTCTGTGAGATGAACGCACACATCACAATGAGGTTTCTGAAAATTCTTCTGTCTAGGGTTATAGGAAGAAATCCCGTTTCCAACGAAGGCCTCAAAGAGGTCCAAATATCCACTTGCAGTTTCTACAAAAAGAGTGTTTCAACACTGCTCTATAAAGAGGAAAGTTCCACTCTGTGAGTTGAATGTACACATCACAAAGTAGTTTCTGAGATTGCTTCTGTCTAGGTTTTAGTTGAAGTTATTTCCTTTTCTACTGTGGGCTTCAATGCGCTCTAAATATACACATGCAAATACTACAAAAAGAGTGTTTCAAAACTGCTCTATCAAAAGAAAAGTTTTACTCTGTGGGTTGAACGCACACATCGCAAAGCAGATTCTGAGAATTATTCTGTCTAGTTTTTATAGGAAGATGTTTCTTTTTCTGCCGTAGGCTCAATGCGCTATAAATATCCCCTTGGAAATCCTACAAAAACAGTGTTTCAAAACTGCTCTGTGAAAAGGGACGTTTCACTCTTTGAATTGAATGCACACATCACAAAGGAGTTTCTGAAAATTCTTCAATCTAGAGTTACATGAAGAAATCCCGTTTCCAAAGAAGGCCTCAAATAGGTCCAAATATCCACTTGCAGCTACTACAAGAAGGGTGTTTCAGAAACGCTCTATCAAAAGAAACGTTAAACTCTGTGAGTTGAACGCACACGTCACTAAGCACTTTCTGAGAACGATTCTATCTACTTTTTACATGAAGAATGTTTCCTTTTCTAGCAGAGACTTCAAAGTGCTCTAAATATCCACTTGGGAATTCTACAAAAACGGTGTCTCAAAACTGCTCTACCAAAGGGAATGTTCCATTCTGTGAGTCGAATGCACACATCCGAAGAAGTTACTGAGAATTCTTCTCTGTAGGTTTAGATGAAGAAATCCCGTTTCCAACGAAGGCCTCTAGGAGGTCCAATTATCCACTTGCAGATTCTACAGAAAGAGTGTTTCAAAACTGCTCTATCAAGAGAAATGGTCCACCGTGTGTGTGGAATGCAGCCATCACACATTAGTTTCTGAGATTGCTTCTGTCTTGGTTTTATGGGGAGATATTTCCATTTCTAGCATAGGCTTCAAGGCGCTCTAAATATCCGCTTGGAAATACTACAAAAACAGTGTTTCAAAACTGCTGTATCCAAAGGAAGGTGCCACTCGCTGAGTTGAATGCACACATCACAAGGAAGTTTCTGAGAATTCTTCTGTCTAGATTCATACGAAGAAATCCCGTTTCCAACGAAGGCCTCAAAGAAGTCCAAATATCCCATTGCAAATTCTACAAAAGGAGTGTTTCCCAACTGCTCTATCAAGAGGAATGTTGCACTCTGTGACTTGCATGCAAACATCACACAGCAGTGTTTGAGAATTCTTCTGTCTAGAGTAACATGAAGAAATCCCGTTTCCAACGAAGGCCTCAAGGCGGTCCAATTATCCACTTGCAGATTCTACAGAAAGAGTGTTTCAAAACTGCTCTATCAAGAGAAATGTTCCACCGTGTGTGTGGAATGCAGCCATCACACAGTAGTTTCTGAGATTGCTTCCGTCTAGGTTTTATGGGAAGATATTTCTTTTTCTACCATAGGCTTCAAGGCGCTCTAATATCCGCTTGGAAATACTACAACCACAGCGTTTCAAACTGCTCTATCCAAAGGAAGGTTCCACTCTGTGACTTGAATGCACACAACCAAAGAAGTTTCGGAGAATTCTTCTGTCTGGATTTATACGAAGAAATCCCGTTTCCAACGAAGACCCAAAGGAGTTCCAAATATCCACTTGCAGATCCTTCAGAAAGAGGGTTTCAAAACTGCTCTATCAAGAGAAATGTTCAACTCTGTGAGTTGAATGCAGACATCACAAAGTCGTTTCTGAGATTGGTTCTGTCTAGGTTTTATGGGAAGATATTTCCTTTTCTACCATACGCTTCAAGGCGTTCCAAATATCCGCTTGGAAATACTACAAAAACGGTGTTTCAAAACTGCTCTATCAAAAGGAAGGATCCACACTGTGAGTTGAATTCACACATCACAAAGAAATCTCTGAGAATTCTTCTGTTTGGTTTATAGGAAGAAATCCCGTTTCCAACGAAGGCCTCAAAGCGGTCCATATATCCACTTGCAGATTCTACAGAAACAATGTTTCCAAACTGCTCTATCAAGAGGAATGTTGCACTCGGTGAGTTGAATGCACACATCACAAAGTAGTTTCTGAGATTGCTTCTGTCTACCTTTTATGGAAAGATATTCCCTTTTCTACCATAGGCCTGAAAGCGCTCTCAATGTACCCTTGCAAATTCTACAAAAAGAGTGTTTCCAAATTGCTCTATCAAGAGAAATCTTTATCTCGGTGAGTTGAAAGCACACATCACAAAGAAGACTCTGAGAATTCTTCTGTCTGGGTTTATAAGATGAAAACCCGTTTCCAACGAAGGCCTCAAGGAGGTCCAAATACAAACAAGCTGATTCTACAGAAAGAGTGTTTCCAAACTGCTCTATCAAGAGGAATGTTCCACTCGGTGAGTTGAATGCAGACATCACAAAGGAGTTTCTGAGATTGCTTCTGTCTAGCTTTTATGGAAAGATATTTCCTTTTCTACCATAGGCCTCAAAGCGCTCTTAGTATACACTTCCAAATTCTACAAAGAGAGTGTTACTAAACCGCTCTCTCAAAGGAAATGTTAAACTCTGTGAGTTGAACACAGACATCACAAAGCAGTTTCTGAGAACACTTCTGTCTGCCTTTTATGTGAAGACATTCCCTTTTCCAAAGAATGCCTCCAAGGGCTCAAAATATCCACTCGTAGACTTTACAAAGAGAGTGTTTCAAAACTTCTCTACCAAAAGAAAGGTTAAAGACGGTGAGTTCAACGCACACATCACAAAGTTGTTTCTGAGAATGATTCTATCTATGTTTTCCATGAAGATGTTTCCTTTTCTATCATAGGCTTCAAAGTGGTCTAAATATCCACTTGGAAATCCTACAAGAACAGGGTTTCAAAACTTCTCTATCAAACGGAAGACTCCACTCTGTGAGATGAACGCACACATCACAATGAGGTTTCTGAAAATTCTTCTGTCTAGGGTTATAGGAAGAAATCCCGTTTCCAACGAAGGCCTCAAAGAGGTCCAAATATCCACTTGCAGTTTCTACAAAAAGAGTGTTTCAACACTGCTCTATAAAGAGAAAAGTTCCACTCTGTGAGTTGAATGTACACATCACAAAGTAGTTTCTGAGATTGCTTCTGTCTAGGTTTTAGGTGAAGTTATTTCCTTTTCTACTGTGGGCTTCAATGCGCTCTAAATATACACATGCAAATACTACAAAAAGAGTGTTTCAAAACTGCTCTATCAAAAGAAAAGTTTTACTCTGTGAGTTGAACGCACACATCGCAAAGCAGATTCTGAGAATTATTCTGTCTAGTTTTTATAGGAAGATGTTTCTTTTTCTGCCATAGGCTCAATGCGCTATAAATATCCCCTTGGAAATCCTACAAAAACAGTGTTTCAAAACTGCTCTGTGAAAAGGGAGGTTTCACTCTTTGAATTGAATGCACACATCACAAAGGAGTTTCTGAAAATTCTTCAAACTAGAGTTACATGAAGAAATCCCGTTTCCAAAGAAGGCCTCAAATAGGTCCAAATATCCACTTGCAGCTACTACAAGAAGGGTGTTTCAGAAACGCTCTATCAAAAGAAACGTTAAACTCTGTGAGTTGAACACACACGTCACTAAGCACTTTCTGAGAACGATTCTATCTACTTTTTACATGAAGATGTTTCCTTTTCTAGCAGAGACTTCAAAGTGCTCTAAATATCCACTTGGGAATTCTACAAAAACGGTGTCTCAAAACTGCTCTATCAAACGGAATGTTCCATTCTGTGAGTCGAATGCACACATCCGAAGAAGTTACTGAGAATTCTTCTCTGTAGGTTTAGATGAAGAAATCCCGTTTCCAACGAAGGCCTCTAGGAGGTCCAATTATCCACTTGCAGATTCTACAGAAAGAGTGTTTCAAAACTGCTCTATCAAGAGAAATGGTCCACCGTGTGTGTGGAATGCAGCCATCACACATTAGTTTCTGAGATTGCTTCTGTCTTGGTTTTATGGGGAGATATTTCCATTTCTAGCATAGGCTTCAAGGCGCTCTAAATATCCGCTTGGAAATACTACAAAAACAGTGTTTCAAAACTGCTGTATCCAAAGGAAGGTGCCACTCGCTGAGTTGAATGCACACATCACAAGGAAGTTTCTGAGAATTCTTCTGTCTAGATTCATACGAAGAAATCCCGTTTCCAACGAAGGCCTCAAAGAAGTCCAAATATCCCATTGCAAATTCTACAACAGGAGTGTTTCCCAACTGCTCTATCAAGAGGAATGTTGCACTCTGTGACTTGCATGCAAACATCACATAGCAGTGTTTGAGAATTCTTCTGTCTAGAGTAACATGAAGAAATCCCGTTTCCAACGAAGGCCTCAAGGCGGTCCAATTATCCACTTGCAGATTCTACAGAAAGAGTGTTTCAAAACTGCTCTATCAAGAGAAATGTTCCACCGTGTGTGTGGAATGCAGCCATCACACAGTAGTTTCTGAGATTGCTTCCGTCTAGGTTTTATGGGAAGATATTTCCTTTTCTACCATAGGCCTCAAGGCGCTCTAATATCCGCTTGGGAATACTACAACCACAGCGTTTCAAACTGCTCTATCCAAAAGAAGGTTCCACTCTGTGACTTGAATGCACACAACCAAAGAAGTTTCGGAGAATTCTTCTGTCTGGATTTATACGAAGAAATCCCGTTTCCAACGAAGACCCAAAGGAGTTCCAAATATCCACTTGCAGATCCTTCAGAAAGAGGGTTTCAAAACTGCTCTATCAAGAGAAATGTTCAACTCTGTGAGTTGAATGCAGACATCACAAAGTCGTTTCTGAGATTGGTTCCGTCTAGGTTTTATGGGAAGATATTTCCTTTTCTACCATACGCTTCAAGGCGTTCCAAATATCCGCTTGGAAATACTACAAAAACGGTGTTTCAAAACTGCTCTATCAAAAGGAGGGATCCACACTGTGAGTTGAATTCACACATCACAAAGAAATCTCTGAGAATTCTTCTGTCTGGGTTTATAGGAAGAAATCCCGTTTCCAACGAAGGCCTCAAAGCGGTCCATATATCCACTTGCAGATTCTACAGAAACAATGTTTCCAAACTGCTCTATCAAGAGGAATGTTGCACTCGGTGAGTTGAATGCACACATAACAAAGTAGTTTCTGAGATTGCTTCTGTCTACCTTTTATGGAAAGATATTCCCTTTTCTACCATAGGCCTGAAAGCGCTCTCAATGTACCCTTGCAAATTCTACAAAAAGAGTGTTTCCAAATTGCTCTATCAAGAGAAATCTTTATCTCGGTGAGTTGAAAGCACACATCACAAAGAAGACTCTGAGAATTCTTCTGTCTGGGTTTATAAGATGAAAACCCGTTTCCAACGAAGGCCTCAAGGAGGTCCAAATACAAACAAGCTGATTCTACAGAAAGAGTGTTTCCAAACTGCTCTATCAAGAGGAATGTTCCACGCGGTGAGTTGAATGCAGACATCACAAAGGAGTTTCTGAGATTGCTTCTGTCTAGCTTTTATGGAAAGATATTTCCTTTTCTACCATAGGCCTCAAAGCGCTCTTAGTATACACTTCCAAATTCTACAAAGAGAGTGTTACTAAACCGCTCTCTCAAAGGAAATGTTAAACTCTGTGAGTTGAACACAGACATCACAAAGCAGTTTCTGAGAACACTTCTGTCTGCCTTTTATGTGAAGACATTCCCTTTTCCAAAGAATGCCTCCAAGGGCTCAAAATATCCACTTGTAGACTTTACAAAGAGAGTGTTTCAAAACTTCTCTACCAAAAGAAAGGTTAAAGACGGTGAGTTCAACGCACACATCACAAAGTTGTTTCTGAGAATGATTCTATCTATGTTTTCCATGAAGATGTTTCCTTTTCTATCATAGGCTTCAAAGTGGTCTAAATATCCACTTGGAAATCCTACAAGAACAGGGTTTCAAAACTTCTCTATCAAACGGAAGACTCCACTCTGTGAGATGAACACACACATCACAATGAGGTTTCTGAAAATTCTTCTGTCTAGGGTTATAGGAAGAAATCCCGTTTCCAACGAAGGCCTCAAAGAGGTCCAAATATCCACTTGCAGTTTCTACAAAAAGAGTGTTTCAACACTGCTCTATAAAGAGAAAAGTTCCACTCTGTGAGTTGAATGTACACATCACAAAGTAGTTTCTGAGATTGCTTCTGTCTAGGTTTTAGGTGAAGTTATTTCCTTTTCTACTGTGGGCTTCAATGCGCTCTAAATATACACATGCAAATACTACGAAAAGAGTGTTTCAAAACTGCTCTATCAAAAGAAAAGTTTTACTCTGTGGGTTGAACGCACACATCGCAAAGCAGATTCTGAGAATTATTCTGTCTAGTTTTTATAGGAAGATGTTTCTTTTTCTGCCATAGGCTCAATGCGCTATAAATATCCCCTTGGAAGTCCTACAAAAACAGTGTTTCAAAACTGCTCTGTGAAAAGGGAGGTTTCACTCTTTGAATTGAATGCACACATCACAAAGGAGTTTCTGAAAATTCTTCAAACGAGAGTTACATGAAGAAATCCCGTTTCCAAAGAAGGCCTCAAATAGGTCCAAATATCCACTTGCAGCTACTACAAGAAGGGTGTTTCAGAAACGCTCTATCAAAAGAAACGTTAAACTCTGTGAGTTGAACGCACACGTCACTAAGCACTTTCTGAGAACGATTCTATCTACTTTTTACATGAAGGTGTTTCCTTTTCTAGCAGAGACTTCAAAGTGCTCTAAATATCCACTTGGGAATTCTACAAAAACGGTGTCTCAAAACTGCTCTATCAAACGGAATGTTCCATTCTGTGAGTCGAATGCACACATCCGAAGAAGTTACTGAGAATTCTTCTCTGTAGGTTTAGATGAAGAAATCCCGTTTCCAACGAAGGCCTCTAGGAGGTCCAATTATCCACTTGCAGATTCTACAGAAAGAGTGTTTCAAAACTGCTCTATCAAGAGAAATGGTCCACCGTGTGTGTGGAATGCAGCCATCACACATTAGTTTCTGAGATTGCTTCTGTCTTGGTTTTATGGGGAGATATTTCCATTTCTAGCATAGGCTTCAAGGCGCTCTAAATATCCGCTTGGAAATACTACAAAAACAGTGTTTCAAAACTGCTGTATCCAAAGGAAGGTGCCACTCGCTGAGTTGAATGCACACATCACAAGGAAGTTTCTGAGAATTCTTCTGTCTAGATTCATACGAAGAAATCCCGTTTCCAACGAAGGCCTCAAAGAAGTCCAAATATCCCATTGCAAATTCTACAAAAGGAGTGTTTCCCAACTGCTCTATCAAGAGGAATGTTGCACTCTGTGACTTGCATGCAAACATCTTATAGCAGTGTTTGAGAATTATTCTGTCTAGAGTAACATGAAGAAATCCCGTTTCCAACGAAGGCCTCAAGGCGGTCCAATTATCCACTTGCAGATTCTACAGAAAGAGTGTTTCAAAACTGCTCTATCAAGAGAAATGTTCCACCGTGTGTGTGGAATGCAGCCATCACACAGTAGTTTCTGAGATTGCTTCCGTCTAGGTTTTATGGGAAGATATTTCCTTTTCTACCATAGGCTTCAAGGCGCTCTAATATCCGCTTGGAAATACTACAACCACAGCGTTTCAAACTGCTCTATCCAAAGGAAGGTTCCACTCTGTGACTTGAATGCACACAACCAAAGAAGTTTCGGAGAATTCTTCTGTCTGGATTTATACGAAGAAATCCCATTTCCAACGAAGACCCAAAGGAGTTCCAAATATCCACTTGCAGATCCTTCAGAAAGAGGGTTTCAAAACTGCTCTATCAAGAGAAATGTTCAACTCTGTGAGTTGAATGCAGACATCACAAAGTCGTTTCTGAGATGGGTTCTGTCTAGGTTTTATGGGAAGATATTTCCTTTTCTACCATACGCTTCAAGGCGTTCCAAATATCCGCTTGGAAATACTACAAAAACAGTGTTTCAAAACTGCTCTATCAAAAGGAAGGATCCACACTGTGAGTTGAATTCACACATCACAAAGAAATCTCTGAGAATTCTTCTGTCTGGGTTTATAGGAAGAAATCCCGTTTCCAACGAAGGCCTCAAAGCGGTCCATATATCCACTTGCAGATTCTACAGAAACAATGTTTCCAAACTGCTCGGTCAAGAGGAATGTTGCACTCGGTGAGTTGAATGCACACATCACAAAGTAGTTTCTGAGATTGCTTCTGTCTACCTTTTATGGAAAGATATTCCCTTTTCTACCATAGGCCTGAAAGCGCTCTCAATGTACCCTTGCAAATTCTACAAAAAGAGTGTTTCCAAATTGCTCTATCAAGAGAAATCTTTATCTCGGTGAGTTGAAAGCACACATCACAAAGAAGACTCTGAGAATTCTTCTGTCTGGGTTTATATGATGAAAACCCGTTTCCAACAAAGGCCTCAAGGAGGTCCAAATACAAACAAGCTGATTCTACAGAAAGAGTGTTTCCAAACTGCTCTATCAAGAGGAATGTTCCACTCGGTGAGTTGAATGCAGACATCACAAAGGAGTTTCTGAGATTGCTTCTGTCTAGCTTTTATGGAAAGATATTTCCTTTTCTACCATAGGCCTCAAAGCGCTCTTAGTATACACTTCCAAATTCTACAAAGAGAGTGTTACTAAACCGCTCTCTCAAAGGAAATGTTAAACTCTGTGAGTTGAACACAGACATCACAAAGCAGTTTCTGAGAACACTTCTGTCTGCCTTTTATGTGAAGACATTCCCTTTTCCAAAGAATGCCTCCAAGGGCCCAAAATATCCACTTGTAGACTTTACAAAGAGAGTGTTTCAAAACTTCTCTACCTAAAGAAAGGTTAAAGACTGTGAGTTCAACGCACACATCACAAAGTTGTTTCTGAGAATGATTCTATCTATGTTTTCCATGAAGATGTTTCCTTTTCTATCATAGGCTTCAAAGTGGTCTAAATATCCACTTGGAAATCCTACAAGAACAGGGTTTCAAAACTTCTCTATCAAACGGAAGACTCCACTCTGTGAGATGAACGCACACATCACAATGAGGTTTCTGAAAATTCTTCTGTCTAGGGTTATAGGAAGAAATCCCGTTTCCAACGAAGGCCTCAAAGAGGTCCAAATATCCACTTGCAGTTTCTACAAAAAGAGTGTTTCAACACTGCTCTATAAAGAGGAATGTTCCACTCTGTGAGTTGAATGTACACATCACAAAGTAGTTTCTGAGATTGCTTCTGTCTAGGTTTTAGGTGAAGTTATTTCCTTTTCTACTGTGGGCTTCAATGCGCTCTAAATATACACATGCAAATACTACAAAAAGAGTGTTTCAAAACTGCTTTATCAAAACAAAAGTTTTACTCTGTGGGTTGAACGCACACATCGCAAAGCAGATTCTGAGAATTATTCTGTCTAGTTTTTATAGGAAGATGTTTCTTTTTCTGCCGTAGGCTCAATGCGCTATAAATATCCCCTTGGAAATCCCACAAAAACAGTGTTTCAAAACTGCTCTGTGAAAAGGGACGTTTCACTCTTTGAATTGAATGCACACATCACAAAGGAGTTTCGAAAATTCTCTCAATCTAGAGTTACATGAAGAAATCCCGTTTCCAAAGAAGGCCTCAAATAGGTCCAAATATCCACTTGCAGCTACTACAAGAAGGGTGTTTCAGAAACGCTCTATCAAAAGAAACGATAAACTCTGTGAGTTGAACACACACGTCACTAAGCACTTTCTGAGAACGATTCTATCTACTTTTTACATGAAGATGTTTCCTTTTCTAGCAGAGACTTCAAAGTGCTCTAAATATCCACTTGGGAATTCTACAAAAACGGTGTCTCAAAACTGCTCTATCAAACGGAATGTTCCATTCTGTGAGTCGAATGCACACATCCGAAGAAGTTACTGAGAATTCTTCTCTGTAGGTTTAGATGAAGAAATCCCGTTTCCAACGAAGGCCTCTAGGAGGTCCAATTATCCACTTGCAGATTCTACAGAAAGAGTGTTTCAAAACTGCTCTATCAAGAGAAATGGTCCACCGTGTGTGTGGAATGCAGCCATCACACATTAGTTTCTGAGATTGCTTCTGTCTTGGTTTTATGGGGAGATATTTCCATTTCTAGCATAGGCTTCAAGGCGCTCTAAATATCCGCTTGGAAATACTACAAAAACAGTGTTTCAAAACTGCTGTATCCAAAGGAAGGTGCCACTCGCTGAGTTGAATGCACACATCACAAGGAAGTTTCTGAGAATTCTTCTGTCTAGATTCATACGAAGAAATCCCGTTTCCAACGAAGGCCTCAAAGAAGTCCAAATATCCCATTGCAAATTCTACAAAAGGAGTGTTTCCCAACTGCTCTATCAAGAGGAATGTTGCACTCTGTGACTTGCATGCAAACATCATATAGCAGTGTTTGAGAATTCTTCTGTCTAGAGTAACATGAAGAAATCCCGTTTCCAACGAAGGCCTCAAGGCGGTCCAATTATCCACTTGCAGATTCTACAGAAAGAGTGTTTCAAAACTGCTCTATCAAGAGAAATGTTCCACCGTGTGTGTGGAATGCAGCCATCACACAGTAGTTTCTGAGATTGCTTCCGTCTAGGTTTTATGGGAAGATATTTCCTTTTCTACCATAGGCCTCAAGGCGCTCTAATATCCGCTTGGAAATACTACAACCACAGCGTTTCAAACTGCTCTATCCAAAGGAAGGTTCCACTCTGTGACTTGAATGCACACAACCAAAGAAGTTTCGGAGAATTCTTCTGTCTGGATTTATACGAAGAAATCCCGTTTCCAACGAAGACCCAAAGGAGTTCCAAATATCCACTTGCAGATCCTTCAGAAAGAGGGTTTCAAAACTGCTCTATCAAGAGAAATGTTCAACTCTGTGAGTTGAATGCAGACATCACAAAGTCGTTTCTGAGATGGGTTCTGTCTAGGTTTTATGGGAAGATATTTCCTTTTCTACCATACGCTTCAAGGCGTTCCAAATATCCGCTTGGAAATACTACAAAAACAGTGTTTCAAAACTGCTCTATCAAAAGGAAGGATCCACACTGTGAGTTGAATTCACACATCACAAAGAAATCTCTGAGAATTCTTCTGTCTGGGTTTATAGGAAGAAATCCCGTTTCCAACGAAGGCCTCAAAGCGGTCCATATATCCACTTGCAGATTCTACAGAAACAATGTTTCCAAACTGCTCTATCAAGAGGAATGTTGCACTCGGTGAGTTGAATGCACACATCACAAAGTAGTTTCTGAGATTGCTTCTGTCTACCTTTTATGGAAAGATATTCCCTTTTCTACCATAGGCCTGAAAGCGCTCTCAATGTACCCTTGCAAATTCTACAAAAAGAGTGTTTCCAAATTGCTCTATCAAGAGAAATCTTTATCTCGGTGAGTTGAAAGCACACATCACAAAGAAGACTCTGAGAATTCTTCTGTCTGGGTTTATAAGATGAAAACCCGTTTCCAACGAAGGCCTCAAGGAGGTCCAAATACAAACAAGCTGATTCTACAGAAAGAGTGTTTCCAAACTGCTCTATCAAGAGGAATGTTCCACTCGGTGAGTTGAATGCAGACATCACAAAGGAGTTTCTGAGATTGCTTCTGTCTAGCTTTTATGGAAAGATAGTTCCTTTTCTACCATAGGCCTCAAAGCGCTCTTAGTATACACTTCCAAATTCTACAAAGAGAGTGTTACTAAACCGCTCTCTCAAAGGAAATGTTAAACTCTGTGAGTTGAACACAGACATCACAAAGCAGTTTCTGAGAACACTTCTGTCTGCCTTTTATGTGAAGACATTCCCTTTTCCAAAGAATGCCTCCAAGGGCTCAAAATATCCACTTGTAGACTTTACAAAGAGAGTGTTTCAAAACTTCTCTACCAAAAGAAAGGTTAAAGACGGTGAGTTCAACGCACACATCACAAAGTTGTTTCTGAGAATGATTCTATCTATGTTTTCCATGAAGATGTTTCCTTTTCTATCATAGGCTTCAAAGTGGTCTAAATATCCACTTGGAAATCCTACAAGAACAGGGTTTCAAAACTTCTCTATCAAACGGAACACTCCACTCTGTGAGATGAATGCACACATCACAATGAGGTTTCTGAAAATTCTTCTGTCTAGGGTTATAGGAAGAAATCCCCTTTCCAACGAAGGCCTCAAAGAGGTCCAAATATCCACTTGCAGTTTCTACAAAAAGAGTGTTTCAACACTGCTCTATAAAGAGGAAAGTTCCACTCTGTGAGTTGAATGTACACATCACAAAGTAGTTTCTGAGATTGCTTCTGTCTAGGTTTTAGGTGAAGTTATTTCCTTTTCTACTGTGGGCTTCAATGCGCTCTAAATATACACATGCAAATACTACAAAAAGAGTGTTTCAAAACTGCTCTATCAAAAGAAAAGTTTTACTCTGTGGGTTGAACGCACACATCGCAAAGCAGATTCTGAGAATTATTCTGTCTAGTTTTTATAGGAAGATGTTTCTTTTTCTGCCGTAGGATCAATGCGCTATAAATATCCCCTTGGAAATCCTACAAAAACAGTGTTTCAAAACTGCTCTGTGAAAAGGGAGGTTTCACTCTTTGAATTGAATGCACACATCACAAAGGAGTTTCTGAAAATTCTTCAAACGAGAGTTACATGAAGAAATCCCGTTTCCAAAGAAGGCCTCAAATAGGTCCAAATATCCACTTGCAGCTACTACAAGAAGGGTGTTTCAGAAACGCTCTATCAAAAGAAACGTTAAACTCTGTGAGTTGAACGCACACGTCACTAAGCACTTTCTGAGAACGATTCTATCTACTTTTTACATGAAGATGTTTCCTTTTCTAGCAGAGACTTCAAAGTGCTCTAAATATCCACTTGGGAATTCTACAAAAACGGTGTCTCAAAACTGCTCTATCAAAGGGAATGTTCCATTCTGTGAGTCGAATGCACACATCCGAAGAAGTTACTGAGAATTCTTCTCTGTAGGTTTAGATGAAGAAATCCCGTTTCCAACGAAGGCCTCTAGGAGGTCCAATTATCCACTTGCAGATTCTACAGAAAGAGTGTTTCAAAACTGCTCTATCAAGAGAAATGGTCCACCGTGTGTGTGGAATGCAGCCATCACACATTAGTTTCTGAGATTGCTTCTGTCTTGGTTTTATGGGGAGATATTTCCATTTCTAGCATAGGCTTCAAGGCGCTCTAAATATCCGCTTGGAAATACTACAAAAACAGTGTTTCAAAACTGCTGTATCCAAAGGAAGGTGCCACTCGCTGAGTTGAATGCACACATCACAAGGAAGTTTCTGAGAATTCTTCTGTCTAGATTCATACGAAGAAATCCCGTTTCCAACGAAGGCCTCAAAGAAGTCCAAATATCCCATTGCAAATTCTACAAAAGGAGTGTTTCCCAACTGCTCTATCAAGAGGAATGTTGCACTCTGTGACTTGCATGCAAACATCACATAGCAGTGTTTGAGAATTCTTCTGTCTAGAGTAACATGAAGAAATCCCGTTTCCAACGAAGGCCTCAAGGCGGTCCAATTATCCACTTGCAGATTCTACAGAAAGAGTGTTTCAAAACTGCTCTATCAAGAGAAATGTTCCACCGTGTGTGTGGAATGCAGCCATCACACAGTAGTTTCTGAGATTGCTTCCGTCTAGGTTTTATGGGAAGATATTTCCTTTTCTACCATAGGCCTCAAGGCGCTCTAATATCCGCTTGGAAATACTACAACCACAGCGTTTCAAACTGCTCTATCCAAAGGAAGGTTCCACTCTGTGACTTGAATGCACACAACCAAAGAAGTTTCGGAGAATTCTTCTGTCTAGATTTATACGAAGAAATCCCGTTTCCAACGAAGACCCAAAGGAGTTCCAAATATCCACTTGCAGATCCTTCAGAAAGAGGGTTTCAAAACTGCTCTATCAAGAGAAATGTTCAACTCTGTGAGTTGAATGCAGACATCACAAAGTCGTTTCTGAGATTGGTTCTGTCTAGGTTTTATGGGAAGATATTTCCTTTTCTACCATACGCTTCAAGGCGTTCCAAATATCCGCTTGGAAATACTACAAAAACAGTGTTTCAAAACTGCTCTATCAAAAGGAAGGATCCACACTGTGAGTTGAATTCACACATCACAAAGAAGTCTCTGAGAATTCTTCTGTCTGGGTTTATAGGAAGAAATCCCGTTTCCAACGAAGGCCTCAAAGAGGTCCAAATATCCACTTGCAGATTCTACAGAAACAATGTTTCCAAACTGCTCGGTCAAGAGGAATGTTGCACTCGGTGAGTTGAATGCACACATCACAAAGTAGTTTCTGAGATTGCTTCTGTCTACCTTTTATGGAAAGATATTCCCTTTTCTACCATAGGCCTGAAAGCGCTCTCAATGTACCCTTGCAAATTCTACAAAAAGAGTGTTTCCAAATTGCTCTATCAAGAGAAATCTTTATCTCGGTGAGTTGAAAGCACACATCAAAAAGAAGACTCTGAGAATTCTTCTGTCTGGGTTTATAAGATGAAAACCCGTTTCCAACGAAGGCCTCAAGGAGGTCCAAATACAAACAAGCTGATTCTACAGAAAGAGTGTTTCCAAACTGCTCTATCAAGAGGAATGTTCCACTCGGTGAGTTGAATGCAGACATCACAAAGGAGTTTCTGAGATTGCTTCTGTCTAGCTTTTATGGAAAGATATTTCCTTTTCTACCATAGGCCTCAAAGCGGCTCTTAGTATACACTTCCAAATTCTACAAAGAGAGTGTTACTAAACCGCTCTCTCAAAGGAAATGTTAAACTCTGTGAGTTGAACACAGACATCACAAAGCAGTTTCTGAGAACACTTCTGTCTGCCTTTTATGTGAAGACATTCCCTTTTCCAAAGAATGCCTCCAAGGGCTCAAAATATCCACTTGTAGACTTTACAAAGAGAGTGTTTCAAAACTTCTCTACCAAAAGAAAGGTTAAAGACGGTGAGTTCAACGCACACATCACAAAGTTGTTTCTGAGAATGATTCTATCTATGTTTTCCATGAAGATGTTTCCTTTTCTATCATAGGCTTCAAAGTGTTCTAAATATCCACTTGGAGATCCTACAAGAACAGGGTTTCAAAACTTCTCTATCAAACGGAAGACTCCACTCTGTGAGATGAACGCACACATCACAATGAGGTTTCTGAAAATTCTTCTGTCTAGGGTTATAGGAAGAAATCCCGTTTCCAACGAAGGCCTCAAAGAGGTCCAAATATCCACCAGCAGTTTCTACAAAAAGAGTGTTTCAACACTGCTCTGTAAAGGGGAAAGTTCCACGCTGTGAGTTGAATGTACACATCACAAAGTAGTTTCTGAGATTGCTTCTGTCTAGGTTTTAGGTGAAGTTATTTCCTTTTCTACTGTGGGCTTCAATGCGCTCTAAATATACACATGCAAATACTACAAAAAGAGTGTTTCAAAACTGCTCTATCAAAAGAAAAGTTTTACTCTGTGGGTTGAACGCACACATCGCAAAGCAGATTCTGAGAATTATTCTGTCTAGTTTTTATAGGAAGATGTTTCTTTTTCTGCCGTAGGCTCAATGCGCTATAAAATATCCCCTTGGAAATCCTACAAAAACAGTGTTTCAAAACTGCTCTGTGAAAAGGGAGGTTTCACTCTTTGAATTGAATGCACACATCACAAAGGAGTTTCTGAAAATTCTTCAAACTAGAGTTACATGAAGAAATCCCGTTTCCAAAGAAGGCCTCAAATAGGTCCAAATATCCACTTGCAGCTACTACAAGAAGGGTGTTTCAGAAACGCTCTATCAAAAGAAACGTTAAACTCTGTGAGTTGAACACACACGTCACTAAGCACTTTCTGAGAACGATTCTATCTACTTTTTACATGAAGATGTTTCCTTTTCTAGCAGAGACTTCAAAGTGCTCTAAATATCCACTTGGGAATTCTACAAAAACGGTGTCTCAAAACTGCTCTATCAAAGGGAATGTTCCATTCTGGTGAGTCGAATGCACACATCCGAAGAAGTTACTGAGAATTCTTCTCTGTAGGTTTAGATGAAGAAATCCCGTTTCCAACGAAGGCCTCTAGGAGGTCCAATTATCCACTTGCAGATTCTACAGAAAGAGTGTTTCAAAACTGCTCTATCAAGAGAAATGGTCCACCGTGTGTGTGGAATGCAGCCATCACACATTAGTTTCTGAGATTGCTTCTGTCTTGGTTTTATGGGGAGATATTTCCATTTCTAGCATAGGCTTCAAGGCGCTCTAAATATCCGCTTGGAAATACTACAAAAACAGTGTTTCAAAACTGCTGTATCCAAAGGAAGGTGCCACTCGCTGAGTTGAATGCACACATCACAAGGAAAGTTTCTGAGAATTCTTCTGTCTAGATTCATACGAAGAAATCCCGTTTCCAACGAAGGCCTCAAAGAAGTCCAAATATCCCATTGCAAATTCTACAAAAGGAGTGTTTCCCAACTGCTCTATCAAGAGGAATGTTGCACTCTGTGACTTGAATGCAAACATCACATAGCAGTGTTTGAGAATTCTTCTGTCTAGAGTAACATGAAGAAATCCCGTTTCCAACGAAGGCCTCAAGGCGGTCCAATTATCCACTTGCAGATTCTACAGAAAGAGTGTTTCAAAACTGCTCTATCAAGAGAAATGTTCCACCGTGTGTGTGGAATGCAGCCATCACACAGTAGTTTCTGAGATTGCTTCCGTCTAGGTTTTATGGGAAGATATTTCCTTTTCTACCATAGGCCTCAAGGCGCTCTAATATCCGCTTGGAAATACTACAACCACAGCGTTTCAAACTGCTCTATCCAAAGGAAGGTTCCACTCTGTGAGTTGAATGCACACAACCAAAGATGTTTCGGAGAATTCTGTCTAGATTTATACGAAGAAATCCCGTTTCCAACGAAGTACCCAAAGGAGTTCCAAATATCCACTTGCAGATCCTTCAGAAAGAGGGTTTCAAAACTGCTCTATCAAGAGAAATGTTCAACTCTGTGAGTTGAATGCAGACATCACAAAGTCGTTTCTGAGATTGGTTCTGTCTAGGTTTTATGGGAAGATATTTCCTTTTCTACCTTACGCTTCAAGGCGTTCCAAATATCCGCTTGGAAATACTACAAAAACAGTGTTTCAAAACTGCTCTATCAAAAGGAAGGATCCACACTGTGAGTTGAATTCACACATCACAAAGAAATCTCTGAGAATTCTTCTGTCTGGGTTTATAGGAAGAAATCCCGTTTCCAACGAAGGCCTCAAAGCGGTCCATATATCCACTTGCAGATTCTACAGAAACAATGTTTCCAAACTGCTCGGTCAAGAGGAATGTTGCACTCGGTGAGTTGAATGCACACATCACAAAGTAGTTTCTGAGATTGCTTCTGTCTACCTTTTATGGAAAGATATTCCCTTTTCTACCATAGGCCTGAAAGCGCTCTCAATGTACCCTTGCAAATTCTACAAAAAGAGTGTTTCCAAATTGCTCTATCAAGAGAAATCTTTATCTCAGTGAGTTGAAAGCACACATCACAAAGAAGACTCTGAGAATTCTTCTGTCTGGGTTTATAAGATGAAAACCCGTTTCCAACGAAGGCCTCAAGGAGGTCCAAATACAAACAAGCTGATTCTACAGAAAGAGTGTTTCCAAACTGCTCTATCAAGAGGAATGTTCCACTCGGTGAGTTGAATGCAGACATCACAAAGGAGTTTCTGAGATTGCTTCTGTCTAGCTTTTATGGAAAGATATTTCCTTTTCTACCATAGGCCTCAAAGCGGCTCTTAGTATACACTTCCAAATTCTACAAAGAGAGTGTTACTAAACCGCTCTCTCAAAGGAAATGTTAAACTCTGTGAGTTGAACACAGACATCACAAAGCAGTTTCTGAGAACACTTCTGTCTGCCTTTTATGTGAAGACATTCCCTTTTCCAAAGAATGCCTCCAAGGGCTCAAAATATCCACTTGTAGACTTTACAAAGAGAGTGTTTCAAAACTTCTCTACCAAAAGAAAGGTTAAAGACGGTGAGTTCAACGCACACATCACAAAGTTGTTTCTGACAATGATTCTATCTATGATTTCCATGAAGATGTTTCCTTTTCTATCATAGGCTTCAAAGTGGTCTAAATAACCACTTGGAAATCCTACAAGAACAGGGTTTCAAAACTTCTCTATCAAACGGAAGACTCCACTCTGTGAGATGAACGCACACATCACAATGAGGTTTCTGAAAATTCTTCTGTCTAGGGTTATAGGAAGAAATCCCGTTTCCAACGAAGGCCTCAAAGAGGTCCAAATATCCACTTGCAGTTTCTACAAAAAGAGTGTTTCAACACTGCTCTATAAAGAGGAAAGGTCCACTCTGTGAGTTGAATGTACACATCACAAAGTAGTTTCTGAGATTGCTTCTGTCTAGGTTTTAGGTGAAGTTATTTCCTTTTCTACTGTGGGCTTCAATGCGCTCTAAATATACACATGCAAATACTACAAAAAGAGTGTTTCAAAACTGCTCTATCAAAAGAAAAGTTTTACTCTGTGAGTTGAACGCACACATCGCAAAGCAGATTCTGAGAATTATTCTGTCTAGTTTTTATAGGAAGATGTTTCTTTTTCTGCCGTAGGCTCAATGCGCTATAAATATCCCCTTGGAAATCCTACAAAAACAGTGTTTCAAAACTGCTCTGTGAAAAGGGAGGTTTCACTCTTTGAATTGAATGCACACATCACAAAGGAGTTTCTGAAAATTCTTCAAACTAGAGTTACATGAAGAAATCCCGTTTCCAAAGAAGGCCTCAAATAGGTCCAAATATCCACTTGCAGCTACTACAAGAAGGGTGTTTCAGAAACGCTCTATCAAAAGAAATGTTAAACTCTGTGAGTTGAACACACACGTCACTAAGCACTTTCTGAGAACGATTCTATCTACTTTTTACATGAAGATGTTTCCTTTTCTAGCAGAGACTTCAAAGTGCTCTAAATATCCACTTGGGAATTCTACAAAAACGGTGTCTCAAAACTGCTCTATCAAAGGGAATGTTCCATTCTGTGAGTCGAATGCACACATCCGAAGAAGTTACTGAGAATTCTTCTCTGTAGGTTTAGATGAAGAAATCCCGTTTCCAACGAAGGCCTCTAGGAGGTCCAATTATCCACTTGCAGATTCTACAGAAAGAGTGTTTCAAAACTGCTCTATCCAGAGAAATGGTCCACCGTGTGTGTGGAATGCAGCCATCACACATTAGTTTCTGAGATTGCTTCTGTCTTGGTTTTATGGGGAGATATTTCCATTTCTAGCATAGGCTTCAAGGCGCTCTAAATATCCGCTTGGAAATACTACAAAAACAGTGTTTCAAAACTGCTGTATCCAAAGGAAGGTGCCACTCGCTGAGTTGAATGCACACATCACAAGGAAGTTTCTGAGAATTCTTCTGTCTAGATTCATACGAAGAAATCCCGTTTCCAACGAAGGCCTCAAAGAAGTCCAAATATCCCATTGCAAATTCTACAAAAGGAGTGTTTCCCAACTGCTCTATCAAGAGGAATGTTGCACTCTGTGACTTGAATGCAAACATCACATAGCAGTGTTTGAGAATTCTTCTGTCTAGAGTAACATGAAGAAATCCCGTTTCCAACGAAGGCTTCAAGGCGGTCCAATTATCCACTTGCAGATTCTACAGAAAGAGTGTTTCAAAACTGCTCTATCAAGAGAAATGTTCCACCGTGTGTGTGGAATGCAGCCATCACACAGTAGTTTCTGAGATTGCTTCCGTCTAGGTTTTATGGGAAGATATTTCCTTTTCTACCATAGGCCTCAAGGCGCTCTAATATCCGCTTGGAAATACTACAACCACAGCGTTTCAAACTGCTCTATCCAAAGGAAGGTTCCACTCTGTGACTTGAATGCACACAACCAGAGAAGTTTCAGAGAATTCTTCTGTCTGGATTTATACGAAGAAATCCCGTTTCCAACGAAGACCCAAAGGAGTTCCAAATATCCACTTGCAGATCCTTCAGAAAGAGGGTTTCAAAACTGCTCTATCAAGAGAAATGTTCAACTCTGTGAGTTGAATGCAGACATCACAAAGTCGTTTCTGAGATGGGTTCTGTCTAGGTTTTATGGGAAGATATTTCCTTTTCTACCATACGCTTCAAGGCGTTCCAAATATCCGCTTGGAAATACTACAAAAACAGTGTTTCAAAACTGCTCTATCAAAAGGAAGGATCCACACTGTGAGTTGAATTCACACATCACAAAGAAATCTCTGAGAATTCTTCTGTCTGGGTTTATAGGAAGAAATCCCGTTTCCAACGAAGGCCTCAAAGCGGTCCATATATCCACTTGCAGATTCTACAGAAACAATGTTTCCAAACTGCTCTATCAAGAGGAATGTTGCACTCGGTGAGTTGAATGCACACATCACAAAGTAGTTTCTGAGATTGCTTCTGTCTACCTTTTCTACCATAGGCCTGAAAGCGCTCTCAATGTACCCTTGCAAATTCTACAAAAAGAGTGTTTCCAAATTGCTCTATCAAGAGAAATCTTTATCTCGGTGAGTTGAAAGCACACATCACAAAGAAGACTCTGAGAATTCTTCTGTCTGGGTTTATAAGATGAAAACCCGTTTCCAACGAAGGCCTCAAGGAGGTCCAAATACAAACAAGCTGATTCTACAGAAAGAGTGTTTCCAAACTGCTCTATCAAGAGGAATGTTCCACTCGGTGAGTTGAATGCAGACATCACAAAGGAGTTTCTGAGATTGCTTCTGTCTAGCTTTTATGGAAAGATATTTCCTTTTCTACCATAGGCCTCAAAGCGCTCTTAGTATACACTTCCAAATTCTACAAAGAGAGTGTTACTAAACCGCTCTCTCAAAGGAAATGTTAAACTCTGTGAGTTGAACACAGACATCACAAAGCAGTTTCTGAGAACACTTCTGTCTGCCTTTTATGTGAAGACATTCCCTTTTCCAAAGAATGCCTCCAAGGGCTCAAAATATCCACTTGTAGACTTTACAAAGAGAGTGTTTCAAAACTTCTCTACCAAAAGAAAGGTTAAAGACGGTGAGTTCAACGCACACATCACAAAGTTGTTTCTGAGAATGATTCTATCTATGTTTTCCATGAAAGATGTTTCCTTTTCTATCATAGGCTTCAAAGTGGTCTAAATATCCACTTGGAAATCCTACAAGAACAGGGTTTCAAAACTTCTCTATCAAACGGAAGACTCCACTCTGTGAGATGAACGCACACATCACAATGAGGTTTCTGAAAATTCTTCTGTCTAGGGTTATAGGAAGAAATCCCGTTTCCAACGAAGGCCTCAAAGAGGTCCAAATATCCACTTGCAGTTTCTACAAAAAGAGTGTTTCAACACTGCTCTATAAAGAGAAAAGTTCCACTCTGTGAGTTGAATGTACACATCACAAAGTAGTTTCTGAGATTGCTTCTGTCTAGGTTTTAGGTGAAGTTATTTCCTTTTCTACTGTGGGCTTCAATGCGCTCTAAATATACACATGCAAATACTACAAAAAGAGTGTTTCAAAACTGCTCTATCAAAAGAAAAGTTTTACTCTGTGAGTTGAACGCACACATCGCAAAGCAGATTCTGAGAATTATTCTGTCTAGTTTTTATAGGAAGATGTTTCTTTTTCTGCCATAGGCTCAATGCGCTATAAATATCCCCTTGGAAATCCTACAAAAACAGTGTTTCAAAACTGCTCTGTGAAAAGGGAGGTTTCACTCTTTGAATTGAATGCACACATCACAAAGGAGTTTCTGAAAATTCTTCAAACTAGAGTTACATGAAGAAATCCCGTTTCCAAAGAAGGCCTCAAATAGGTCCAAATATCCACTTGCAGCTACTACAAGCAGGGTGTTTCAGAAACGCTCTATCAAAAGAAACGTTAAACTCTGTGAGTTGAACACACACGTCACTAAGCACTTTCTGAGAACGATTCTATCTACTTTTTACATGAAGATGTTTCCTTTTCTAGCAGAGACTTCAAAGTGCTCTAAATATCCACTTGGGAATTCTACAAAAACGGTGTCTCAAAACTGCTCTATCAAAGGGAATGTTCCATTCTGTGAGTCGAATGCACACATCCGAAGAAGTTACTGAGAATTCTTCTCTGTAGGTTTAGATGAAGAAATCCTATTTCCAACGAAGGCCTCTAGGAGGTCCAATTATCCACTTGCAGATTCTACAGAAAGAGTGTTTCAAAACTGCTCTATCAAGAGAAATGGTCCACCGTGTGTGTGGAATGCAGCCATCACACATTAGTTTCTGAGATTGCTTCTGTCTTGGTTTTATGGGGAGATATTTCCATTTCTAGCATAGGCTTCAAGGCGCTCTAAATATCCGCTTGGAAATACTACAAAAACAGTGTTTCAAAACTGCTGTATCCAAAGGAAGGTGCCACTCGCTGAGTTGAATGCACACATCACAAGGAAGTTTCTGAGAATTCTTCTGTCTAGATTCATACGAAGAAATCCCGTTTCCAACGAAGGCCTCAAAGAAGTCCAAATATCCCATTGCAAATTCTACAAAAGGAGTGTTTCCCAACTGCTCTATCAAGAGGAATGTTGCACTCTGTGACTTGAATGCAAACATCACATAGCAGTGTTTGAGAATTCTTCTGTCTAGAGTAACATGAAGAAATCCCGTTTCCAACGAAGGCCTCAAGGCGGTCCAATTATCCACTTGCAGATTCTACAGAAAGAGTGTTTCAAAACTGCTCTATCAAGAGAAATGTTCCACCGTGTGTGTGGAATGCAGCCATCACACAGTAGTTTCTGAGATTGCTTCCGTCTAGGTTTTATGGGAAGATATTTCCTTTTCTACCATAGGCTTCAAGGCGCTCTAATATCCGCTTGGAAATACTACAACCACAGCGTTTCAAACTGCTCTATCCAAAGGAAGGTTCCACTCTGTGACTTGAATGCACACAACCAAAGAAGTTTCGGAGAATTCTTCTGTCTGGATTTATACGAAGAAATCCCGTTTCCAACGAAGACCCAAAGGAGTTCCAAATATCCACTTGCAGCTCCTTCAGAAAGAGGGTTTCAAAACTGCTCTATCAAGAGAAATGTTCAACTCTGTGAGTTGAATGCAGACATCACAAAGTCGTTTCTGAGAATGGGTTCTGTCTAGGTTTTATGGGAAGATATTTCCTTTTCTACCATACGCTTCAAGGCGTTCCAAATATCCGCTTGTAAATACTACCAAAACAGTGTTTCAAAACTGCTCTATCAAAAGGGAAGGATCCACACTGTGAGTTGAATTCACACATCACAAAGAAGTCTCTGAGAATTCTTCTGTCTGGGTTTATAGGAAGAAATCCCGTTTCCAACGAAGGCCTCAAAGAGGTCCAAATATCCACTTGCAGATTCTACAGAAACAATGTTTCCAAACTGCTCGGTCAAGAGGAATGTTGCACTCGGTGAGTTGAATGCACACATCACAAAGTAGTTTCTGAGATTGCTTCTGTCTACCTTTTATGGAAAGATATTCCCTTTTCTACCATAGGCCTGAAAGCGCTCTCAATGTACCCTTGCAAATTCTACAAAAAGAGTGTTTCCAAATTGCTCTATCAAGAGAAATCTTTATCTCGGTGAGTTGAAAGCACACATCACAAAGAAGACTCTGAGAATTCTTCTGTCTGGGTTTATAAGATGAAAACCCGTTTCCAACCGAAGGCCTCAAGGAGGTCCAAATACAAACAAGCTGATTCTACAGAAAGAGTGTTTCCAAACTGCTCTATCAAGAGGAATGTTCCACTCGGTGAGTTGAATGCAGACATCACAAAGGAGTTTCTGAGATTGCTTCTGTCTAGCTTTTATGGAAAGATATTTCCTTTTCTACCATAGGCCTCAAAGCGCTCTTAGTATACACTTCCAAATTCTACAAAGAGAGTGTTACTAAACCGCTCTCTCAAAGGAAATGTTAAACTCTGTGAGTTGAACACAGACATCACAAAGCAGTTTCTGAGAACACTTCCTGTCTGCCTTTTATGTGAAGACATTCCCTTTTCCAAAGAATGCCTCCAAGGGCTCAAAATATCCACTTGTAGACTTTACAAAGAGAGTGTTTCAAAACTTCTCTACCAAAAGAAAGGATAAAGTCTGTGAGTTCAACGCACACATCACAAAGTTGTTTCTGAGAATGATTCTATCTATGTTTTCCATGAAGATGTTTCCTTTTCTATCATAGGCTTCAAAGTGGTCTAAATTTCCACTTGTAAATCCTACAAGAATAGGGATTCAAAAGTTCTCTAATAAAAGGAAGTCTCCACTCTGTGAGATGAACGCACACATCACAATGAGGTTTCAGAAAATTCTTCTGTCTGGGGATATGTGAAGAAATCCCATTTCCAACGAAGGCCTCAAAGAGGTCCAAATATCCACTGGCAGTTTCTACAAAAAGAGTGTTTCAACACTGCTCTATAAAGAGGAAAGTTCCACTCTGTGAGTTGAATGCACACATCCCAAATTAGTTTCTGAGATTGCTTCTGTCTAGGTTTTAGGTGAAGATATTTCCTTTTCTACCGTGGGCTTCAATGCGCTCTTAATATACACTTGCAAATACTGAAAAAAGAGTGTTTCAAAACTGCTCTATCCAAAGAAACGTTTTACTCTGTGTGTTGAACGCACACATCGCAAAGCAGATTCTGAGAATTATTCTGTCTAGTTTTTATATGAAGATGTTTCTTTTTCTACCGTAGGCTTCAAGGCGCTCTAAATATCCCCTTGGAAATCCTACAAAAACAGTGTTTCAAAACTGCTCTGTCAAAAGGAAGGTTTCACTCTGTGAGTTGAATGCACACATCACAAAGGAGTTTCTGAGAATTCTTCAAACTAGGAGTTACATGAAGAAATCCCGTTTCCAAAGAAGGCCTCAAATAGGTCCAAATATCCACTTGCAGCTACTACAAGAAGGGTGTTTCAGAAACGCTCTATCAAAAGAAACGTTAAACTCTGTGAGTTGAACACACACGTCACTAAGCACTTTCTGAGAACGATTCTATCTACTTTTTACATGAAGATGTTTCCTTTTCTAGCAGAGACTTCAAAGTGCTCTAAATATCCACTTGGGAATTCTACAAAAACGGTGTCTCAAAACTGCTCTATCAAAGGGAATGTTCCATTCTGTGAGTCGAATGCACACATCCGAAGAAGTTACTGAGAATTCTTCTCTGTAGGTTTAGATGAAGAAATCCCGTTTCCAACGAAGGCCTCTAGGAGGTCCAATTATCCACTTGCAGATTCTACAGAAAGAGTGTTTCAAAACTGCTCTATCAAGAGAAATGGTCCACCGTGTGTGTGGAATGCAGCCATCACACATTAGTTTCTGAGATTGCTTCTGTCTTGGTTTTATGGGGAGATATTTCCATTTCTAGCATAGGCTTCAAGGCGCTCTAAATATCCGCTTGGAAATACTACAAAAACAGTGTTTCAAAACTGCTGTATCCAAAGGAAGGTGCCACTCGCTGAGTTGAATGCACACATCACAAGGAAGTTTCTGAGAATTCTTCTGTCTAGATTCATACGAAGAAATCCCGTTTCCAACGAAGGCCTCAAAGAAGTCCAAATATCCCATTGCAAATTCTACAAAAGGAGTGTTTCCCAACTGCTCTATCAAGAGGAATGTTGCACTCTGTGACTTGCATGCAAACATCACACAGCAGTGTTTGAGAATTCTTCTGTCTAGAGTAACATGAAGAAATCCCGTTTCCAACGAAGGCCTCAAGGCGGTCCAATTATCCACTTGCAGATTCTACAGAAAGAGTGTTTCAAAACTGCTCTATCAAGAGAAATGTTCCACCGTGTGTGTGGAATGCAGCCATCACACAGTAGTTTCTGAGATTGCTTCCGTCTAGGTTTTATGGGAAGATATTTCCTTTTCTACCATAGGCTTCAAGGCGCTCTAATATCCGCTTGGAAATACTACAACCACAGCGTTTCAAACTGCTCTATCCAAAGGAAGGTTCCACTCTGTGACTTGAATGCACACAACCAAAGAAGTTTCGGAGAATTCTTCTGTCTGGATTTATATGAAGAAATCCCGTTTCCAACGAAGACCCAAAGGAGTTCCAAATATCCACTTGCAGATCCTTCCGAAAGAGGGTTTCAAAACTGCTCTATCAAGAGAAATGTTCAACTCTGTGAGTTGAATGCAGACATCACAAAGTCGTTTCTGAGATGGGTTCTGTCTAGGTTTTATGGGAAGATATTTCCTTTTCTACCATACGCTTCAAGGCGTTCCAAATATCCGCTTGGAAATACTACAAAAACAGTGTTTCAAAACTGCTCTATCAAAAGGAAGGATCCACACTGTGAGTTGAATTCACACATCACAAAGAAGTCTCTGAGAATTCTTCTGTCTGGGTTTATAGGAAGAAATCCCGTTTCCAACGAAGGCCTCAAAGCGGTCCATATATCCACTTGCAGATTCTACAGAAACAATGTTTCCAAACTGCTCTATCAAGAGGAATGTTGCACTCGGTGAGTTGAATGCACACATCACAAAGTAGTTTCTGAGATTGCTTCTGTCTACCATTTCTACCATAGGCCTGAAAGCGCTCTCAATGTACCCTTGCAAATTCTACAAAAAGAGTGTTTCCAAATTGCTCTATCAAGAGAAATCTTTATCTCGGTGAGTTGAAAGCACACATCACAAAGAAGACTCTGAGAATTCTTCTGCCTGGGTTTATAAGATGAAAACCCGTTTCCAACGAAGGCCTCAAGGAGGTCCAAATACAAACAAGCTGATTCTACAGAAAGAGTGTTTCCAAACTGCTCTATCAAGAGGAATGTTCCACTCGGTGAGTTGAATGCAGACATCACAAAGGAGTTTCTGAGATTGCTTCTGTCTAGCTTTTATGGAAAGATATTTCCTTTTCTACCATAGGCCTCAAAGCGCTCTTAGTATACACTTCCAAATTCTACAAAGAGAGTGTTACTAAACCGCTCTCTCAAAGGAAATGTTAAACTCTGTGAGTTGAACACAGACATCACAAAGCAGTTTCTGAGAACACTTCTGTCTGCCTTTTATGTGAAGACATTCCCTTTTCCAAAGAATGCCTCCAAGGGCTCAAAATATCCACTTGTAGACTTTACAAAGAGAGTGTTTCAAAACTTCTCTACCAAAAGAAAGGTTAAAGACGGTGAGTTCAACGCACACATCACAAAGTTGTTTCTGAGAATGATTCTATCTATGTTTTCCATGAAGATGTTTCCTTTTCTATCATAGGCTTCAAAGTGGTCTAAATATCCACTTGGAAATCCTACAAGAACAGGGTTTCAAAACTTCTCTATCAAACGGAAGACTCCACTCTGTGAGATGAACGCACACATCACAATGAGGTTTCTGAAAATTCTTCTGTCTAGGGTTATAGGAAGAAATCCCGTTTCCAACGAAGGCCTCAAAGAGGTCCAAATATCCACTTGCAGTTTCTACAAAAAGAGTGTTTCAACACTGCTCTATAAAGAGGAAAGTTCCACTCTGTGAGTTGAATGTACACATCACAAAGTAGTTTCTGAGATTGCTTCTGTCTAGGTTTTAGGTGAAGTTATTTCCTTTTCTACTGTGGGCTTCAATGCGCTCTAAATATACACATGCAAATACTACAAAAAGAGTGTTTCAAGACTGCTCTATCAAAAGAAATGTTTTACTCTGTGAGTTGAACGCACACATGGCAAACCAGATTCTGAGAATTATTCTGTCTAGTTTTTATAGGAAGGTGTTTCTTTTTCTGCCGTAGGCTCAATGCGCTATAAATATCCCCTTGGAAATCCTACAAAAACAGTGTTTCAAAACTGCTCTGTGAAAAGGGAGGTTTCACTCTTTGAATTGAATGCACACATCACAAAGGAGTTTCTGAGAATTCTTCAATCTAGAGTTACAGGAAGAAATCCCGTTTCCAAAGAAGGCCTCCAATAGGTCCAAATATCCACTTGCAGCTACTACAAGAAGGGTGTTTCAGAAACGCTCTATCAAAAGAAACGTTACACTCTGTGAGTTGAACGCACACGTCACTAAGCACTTTCTGAGAACGATTCTATCTACTTTTTACATGAAGATGTTTCCTTTTCTAGCAGAGACTTCAAAGTGCTCTAAATATCCACTTGGGAATTCTACCAAAACGGTGTCTCAAAACTGCTCTATCGAAGGGAATGTTCCACTCGGTGAGTCGAATGCACACATCCGAAGAAGTTACTGAGAATTCTTCTCTGTAGGTTTAGATGAAGAAATCCCGTTTCCAACGAAGGCCTCTAGGAGGTCCAATTATCCACTTGCAGATTCTACAGAAAGAGTGTTTCAAAACTGCTCTATCAAGAGAAATGGTCCACCGTGTGTGTGGAATGCAGCCATCACACATTAGTTTCTGAGATTGCTTCTGTCTTGGTTTTATGGGGAGATATTTCCATTTCTAGCATAGGCTTCAAGGCGCTCTAAATATCCGCTTGGAAATACTACAAAAACAGTGTTTCAAAACTGCTGTATCGAAAGGAAGGTGCCACTCGCTGAGTTGAATGCACACATCACAAGGAAGTTTCTGAGAATTCTTCTGTCTAGATTCATACGAAGAAATCCCGTTTCCAATGAAGGCCTCAAAGAAGTCCAAATATCCCATTGCAAATTCTACAAAAGGAGTGTTTCCCAACTGCTCTATCAAGAGGAATGTTGCACTCTGTGACTTGAATGCAAACATCACATAGCAGTGTTTGAGAATTCTTCTGTCTAGAGTAACATGAAGAAATCCCGTTTCCAACGACGGCCTCAAGGCGGTCCAATTATCCACTTGCAGATTCTACAGAAAGAGTGTTTCAAAACTGCTCTATCAAGAGCAATGTTCCACCGTGTGTGTGGAATGCAGCCATCACACAGTAGTTTCTGAGATTGCTTCCGTCTAGGTTTTATGGGAAGATATTTCCTTTTCTACCATAGGCTTCAAGGCGCTCTAATATCCGCTTGGAAATACTACAACCACAGCGTTTCAAACTGCTCTATCCAAAGGAAGGTTCCACTCTGTGACTTGAATGCACACAACCAAAGAAGTTTCGGAGTATTCTTCTGTCTGGATTTATACGAAGAAATCCCGTTTCCAACGAAGACCCAAAGGAGTTCCAAATATCCACTTGCAGATCCTTCAGAAAGAGGGTTTCAAAACTGCTCTATCAAGAGAAATGTTCAACTCTGTGAGTTGAATGCAGACATCACAAAGTCGTTTCTGAGATGGGTTCTGTCTAGGTTTTATGGGAAGATATTTCCTTTTCTACCATACGCTTCAAGGCGTTCCAAATATCCGCTTGGAAATACTACAAAAACGGTGTTTCAAAACTGCTCTATCAAAAGGAAGGATCCACACTGTGAGTTGAATTCACACATCACAAAGAAATCTCTGAGAATTCTTCTGTCTGGGTTTATAGGAAGAAATCCCGTTTCCAACGAAGGCCTCAAAGCGGTCCATATATCCACTTGCAGATTCTACAGAAACAATGTTTCCAAACTGCTCTATCAAGAGGAATGTTGCACTCGGTGAGTTGAATGCACACATCACAAAGTAGTTTCTGAGATTGCTTCTGTCTACCTTTTATGGAAAGATATTCCCTTTTCTACCATAGGCCTGAAAGCGCTCTCAATGTACCCTTGCAAATTCTACAAAAAGAGTGTTTCCAAATTGCTCTATCAAGAGAAATCTTTATCTCGGTGAGTTGAAAGCACACATCACAAAGAAGACTCTGAGAATTCTTCTGTCTGAGTTTATAAGATGAAAACCCGTTTCCAACGAAGGCCTCAAGGAGGTCCAAATACAAACAAGCTGATTCTACAGAAAGAGTGTTTCCAAACTGCTCTATCAAGAGGAATGTTCCACTCGGTGAGTTGAATGCAGACATCACAAAGGAGTTTCTGAGATTGCTTCTGTCTAGCTTTTATGGAAAGATAATTCCTTTTCTACCATAGGCCTCAAAGCGCTCTTAGTATACACTTCCAAATTCTACAAAGAGAGTGTCACTAAACCGCTCTCTCAAAGGAAATGTTAAACTCTGTGAGTTGAACACAGACATCACAAAGCAGTTTCTGAGAACACTTCTGTCTGCCTTTTATGTGAAGACATTCCCTTTTCCAAAGAATGCCTCCAAGGGCTCAAAATATCCACTTGTAGACTTTACAAAGAGAGTGTTTCAAAACTTCTCTACCAAAAGAAAGGTTAAAGACGGTGAGTTCAACGCACACATCACAAAGTTGTTTCTGAGAATGATTCTATCTATGTTTTCCATGAAGATGTTTCCTTTTCTATCATAGGCTTCAAAGTGGTCTAAATATCCACTTGGAAATCCTACAAGAACAGGGTTTCAAAACTTCTCTATCAAACGGAAGACTCCACTCTGTGAGATGAACGCACACATCACAATGAGGTTTCTGAAAATTCTTCTGTCTAGGGTTATAGGAAGAAATCCCGTTTCCAACGAAGGCCTCAAAGAGGTCCAAATATCCACTTGCAGTTTCTACAAAAAGAGTGTTTCAACACTGCTCTATAAAGAGGAAAGTTCCACTCTGTGAGTTGAATGTACACATCACAAAGTAGTTTCTGAGATTGCTTCTGTCTAGGTTTTAGGTGAAGTTATTTCCTTTTCTACTGTGGGCTTCAATGCGCTCTAAATATACACATGCAAATACTACAAAAAGAGTGTTTCAAAACTGCTCTATCAAAAGAAAAGTTTTACTCTGTGAGTTGAACGCACACATCGCAAAGCAGATTCTGAGAATTATTCTGTCTAGTTTTTATAGGAAGATGTTTCTTTTTCTGCCATAGGATCAATGCGCTATAAATATCCCCTTGGAAGTCCTACAAAAACAGTGTTTCAAAACTGCTCTGTGAAAAGGGAGGTTTCACTCTTTGAATTGAATGCACACATCACAAAGGAGTTTCTGAAAATTCTTCAATCTAGAGTTACATGAAGAAATCCCGTTTCCAAAGAAGGCCTCAAATAGGTCCAAATATCCACTTGCAGCTACTACAAGAAGGGTGTTTCAGAAACGCTCTATCAAAAGAAACGATAAACTCTGTGAGTTGAACACACACGTCACTAAGCACTTTCTGAGAACGATTCTATCTACTTTTTACATGAAGATGTTTCCTTTTCTAGCAGAGACTTCAAAGTGCTCTAAATATCCACTTGGGAATTCTACAAAAACGGTGTCTCAAAACTGCTCTATCAAAGGGAATGTTCCATTCTGTGAGTCGAATGCACACATCCGAAGAAGTTACTGAGAATTCTTCTCTGTAGGTTTAGATGAAGAAATCCCGTTTCCAACGAAGGCCTCTAGGAGGTCCAATTATCCACTTGCAGATTCTACAGAAAGAGTGTTTCAAAACTGCTCTATCAAGAGAAATGGTCCACCGTGTGTGTGGAATGCAGCCATCACACATTAGTTTCTGAGATTGCTTCTGTCTTGGTTTTATGGGGAGATATTTCCATTTCTAGCATAGGCTTCAAGGCGCTCTAAATATCCGCTTGGAAATACTACAAAAACAGTGTTTCAAAACTGCTGTATCCAAAGGAAGGTGCCACTCGCTGAGTTGAATGCACACATCACAAGGAAGTTTCTGAGAATTCTTCTGTCTAGATTCATACGAAGAAATCCCGTTTCCAACGAAGGCCTCAAAGAAGTCCAAATATCCCATTGCAAATTCTACAAAAGGAGTGTTTCCCAACTGCTCTATCAAGAGGAATGTTGCACTCTGTGACTTGCATGCAAACATCACATAGCAGTGTTTGAGAATTCTTCTGTCTAGAGTAACATGAAGAAATCCCGTTTCCAACGAAGGCCTCAAGGCGGTCCAATTATCCACTTGCAGATTCTACAGAAAGAGTGTTTCAAAACTGCTCTATCAAGAGAAATGTTCCACCGTGTGTGTGGAATGCAGCCATCACACAGTAGTTTCTGAGATTGCTTCCGTCTAGGTTTTATGGGAAGATATTTCCTTTTCTACCATAGGCCTCAAGGCGCTCTAATATCCGCTTGGAAATACTACAACCACAGCGTTTCAAACTGCTCTATCCAAAGGAAGGTTCCACTCTGTGAGTTGAATGCACACAACCAAAGATGTTTCGGAGAATTCTTCTGTCTAGATTTATACGAAGAAATCCCGTTTCCAACGAAGACCCAAAGGAGTTCCAAATATCCACTTGCAGATCCTTCAGAAAGAGGGTTTCAAAACTGCTCTATCAAGAGAAATGTTCAACTCTGTGAGTTGAATGCAGACATCACAAAGTCGTTTCTGAGATTGGTTCTGTCTAGGTTTTATGGGAAGATATTTCCTTTTCTACCATACGCTTCAAGGCGTTCCAAATATCCGCTTGGAAATACTACAAAAACAGTGTTTCAAAACTGCTCTATCAAAAGGAAGGATCCACACTGTGAGTTGAATTCACACATCACAAAGAAGTCTCTGAGAATTCTTCTGTCTGGGTTTATAGGAAGAAATCCCGTTTCCAACGAAGGCCTCAAAGAGGTCCAAATATCCACTTGCAGATTCTACAGAAACAATGTTTCCAAACTGCTCGGTCAAGAGGAATGTTGCACTCGGTGAGTTGAATGCACACATCACAAAATAGTTTCTGAGATTGCTTCTGTCTACCTTTTATGGAAAGATATTCCCTTTTCTACCATAGGCCTGAAAGCGCTCTCAATGTACCCTTGCAAATTCTACAAAAAGAGTGTTTCCAAATTGCTCTATCAAGAGAAATCTTTATCTCGGTGAGTTGAAAGCACACATCACAAAGAAGACTCTGAGAATTCTTCTGTCTGGGTTTATAAGATGAAAACCCGTTTCCAACGAAGGCCTCAAGGAGGTCCAAATACAAACAAGCTGATTCTACAGAAAGAGTGTTTCCAAACTGCTCTATCAAGAGGAATGTTCCACTCGGTGAGTTGAATGCAGACATCACAAAGGAGTTTCTGAGATTGCTTCTGTCTAGCTTTTATGGAAAGATATTTCCTTTTCTACCATAGGCCTCAAAGCGCTCTTAGTATACACTTCCAAATTCTACAAAGAGAGTGTTACTAAACCGCTCTCTCAAAGGAAATGTTAAACTCTGTGAGTTGAACACAGACATCACAAAGCAGTTTCTGAGAACACTTTCTGTCTGCCTTTTATGTGAAGACATTCCCTTTTCCAAAGAATGCCTCCAAGGGCTCAAAATATCCACTTGTAGACTTTACAAAGAGAGTGTTTCAAAACTTCTCTACCAAAAGAAAGGTTAAAGACGGTGAGTTCAACGCACACATCACAAAGTTGTTTCTGAGAATGATTCTATCTATGTTTTCCATGAAGATGTTTCCTTTTCTATCATAGGCTTCAAAGTGGTCTAAATATCCACTTGGAAATCCTACAAGAACAGGGTTTCAAAACTTCTCTATCAAACGGAAGACTCCACTCTGTGAGATGAACGCACACATCACAATGAGGTTTCTGAAAATTCTTCTGTCTAGGGTTATAGGAAGAAATCCCGTTTCCAACGAAGGCGTCAAAGAGGTCCAAATATCCACTTGCAGTTTCTACAAAAAGAGTGTTTCAACACTGCTCTATAAAGAGGAAAGTTCCACTCTGTGAGTTGAATGTACACATCACAAAATAGTTTCTGAGATTGCTTCTGTCTAGGTTTTAGGTGAAGTTATTTCCTTTTCTACTGTGTGCTTCAATGCGCTCTAAATATACACATGCAAATACTACAAAAAGAGTGTTTCAAAACTGTTCTATCAAAAGAAAAGTTTTACTCTGTGAGATGAACGCACACATCGCAAAGCAGACTCTGAGAATTATTCTGTCTAGTTTTTATAGGAAGATGTTTCTCTTTCTGCCATAGGATCAATGCGCTATAAATATCCCCTTGGAAATCCTACAAAAACAGTGTTTCAAAACTGCTCTGTGAAAAGGGAGGTTTCACTCTTTGAATTGAATGCACACATCACAAAGGAGTTTCTGAAAATTCTTCAATCTAGAGTTACATGAAGAAAACCCGTTTCCAAAGAAGGCCTCAAATAGGTCCAAATATCCACTTGCAGCTACTACAAGAAGGGTGTTTCAGAAACGCTCTATCAAAAGAAACGTTAAACTCTGTGAGTTGAACGCACACGTCACTAAGCACTTTCTGAGAACGATTCTATCTACTTTTTACATGAAGATGTTTCCTTTTCTAGCAGAGACTTCAAAGTGCTCTAAATATCCACTTGGGAATTCTACAAAAACGGTGTCTCAAAACTGCTCTATCAAAGGGAATGTTCCATTCTGTGAGTCGAATGCACACATCCGAAGAAGTTACTGAGAATTCTTCTCTGTAGGTTTAGATGAAGAAATCCCGTTTCCAACGAAGGCCTCTAGGAGGTCCAATTATCCACTTGCAGATTCTACAGAAAGAGTGTTTCAAAACTGCTCTATCAAGAGAAATGGTCCACCGTGTGTGTGGAATGCAGCCATCACACATTAGTTTCTGAGATTGCTTCTGTCTTGGTTTTATGGGGAGATATTTCCATTTCTAGCATAGGCTTCAAGGCGCTCTAAATATCCGCTTGGAAATACTACAAAAACAGTGTTTCAAAACTGCTGTATCCAAAGGAAGGTGCCACTCGCTGAGTTGAATGCACACATCACAAGGAAGTTTCTGAGAATTCTTCTGTCTAGATTCATACGAAGAAATCCCGTTTCCAACGAAGGCCTCAAAGAAGTCCAAATATCCCATTGCAAATTCTACAAAAGGAGTGTTTCCCAACTGCTCTATCAAGAGGAATGTTGCACTCTGTGACTTGAATGCAAACATCACATAGCAGTGTTTGAGAATTCTTCTGTCTAGAGTAACATGAAGAAATCCCGTTTCCAACGAAGGCCTCAAGGCGGTCCAATTATCCACTTGCAGATTCTACAGAAAGAGTGTTTCAAAACTGCTCTATCAACAGAAATGTTCCACCGTGTGTGTGGAATGCAGCCATCACACAGTAGTTTCTGAGATTGCTTCCGTCTAGGTTTTATGGGAAGATATTTCCTTTTCTACCATAGGCTTCAAGGCGCTCTAATATCCGCTTGGAAATACTACAACCACAGCGTTTCAAACTGCTCTATCCAAAGGAAGGTTCCACTCTGTGACTTGAATGCACACAACCAAAGAAGTTTCGGAGAATTCTTCTGTCTGGATTTATACGAAGAAATCCCGTTTCCAACGAAGACCCAAAGGAGTTCCAAATATCCACTTGCAGATCCTTCAGAAAGAGGGTTTCAAAACTGCTCTATCAAGAGAAATGTTCAACTCTGTGAGTTGAATGCAGACATCACAAAGTCGTTTCTGAGATGGGTTCTGTCTAGGTTTTATGGGAAGATATTTCCTTTTCTACCATACGCTTCAAGGCGTTCCAAATATCCGCTTGGAAATACTACAAAAACAGTGTTTCAAAACTGCTCTATCAAAAGGAAGGATCCACACTGTGAGTTGAATTCACACATCACAAAGAAATCTCTGAGAATTCTTCTGTCTGGGTTTATAGGAAGAAATCCCGTTTCCAACGAAGGCCTCAAAGCGGTCCATATATCCACTTGCAGATTCTACAGAAACAATGTTTCCAAACTGCTCTATCAAGAGGAATGTTGCACTCGGTGAGTTGAATGCACACATCACAAAGTAGTTTCTGAGATTGCTTCTGTCTACCTTTTATGGAAAGATATTCCCTTTTCTACCATAGGCCTGAAAGCGCTCCCAATGTACCCTTGCAAATTCTACAAAAAGAGTGTTTCCAAATTGCTCTATCAAGAGAAATCTTTATCTCGGTGAGTTGAAAGCACACATCACAAAGAAGACTCTGAGAATTCTTCTGTCTGGGTTTATAAGATGAAAACCCGTTTCCAACGAAGGCCTCAAGGAGGTCCAAATACAAACAAGCTGATTCTACAGAAAGAGTGTTTCCAAACTGCTCTATCAAGAGGAATGTTCCACTCGGTGAGTTGAATGCAGACATCACAAAGGAGTTTCTGAGATTGCTTCTGTCTAGCTTTTATGGAAAGATATTTCCTTTTCTACGATAGGCCTCAAAGCGCTCTTAGTATACACTTCCAAATTCTACAAAGAGAGTGTTACTAAACCGCTCTCTCAAAGGAAATGTTAAACTCTGTGAGTTGAACACAGACATCACAAAGCAGTTTCTGAGAACACTTTCTGTCTGCCTTTTATGTGAAGACATTCCCTTTTCCAAAGAATGCCTCCAAGGGCTCAAAATATCCACTTGTAGACTTTACAAAGAGAGTGTTTCAAAACTTCTCTACCAAAAGAAAGGTTAAAGACGGTGAGTTCAACGCACACATCACAAAGTTGTTTCTGAGAATGATTCTATCTATGTTTTCCATGAAGATGTTTCCTTTTCTATCATAGGCTTCAAAGTGGTCTAAATATCCACTTGGAAATCCTACAAGAACAGGGTTTCAAAACTTCTCTATCAAACGGAAGACTCCACTCTGTGAGATGAACGCACACATCACAATGAGGTTTCTGAAAATTCTTCTGTCTAGGGTTATAGGAAGAAATCCCGTTTCCAACGAGGGCCTCAAAGAGGTCCACATATCCACTTGCAGTTTCTACAAAAAGAGTGTTTCAACACTGCTCTATAAAGAGGAAAGTTCCACTCTGTGAGTTGAATGTACACATCACAAAGTAGTTTCTGAGATTGCTTCTGTCTAGGTTTTAGGTGAAGTTATTTCCTTTTCTACTGTGGGCTTCAATGCGCTCTAAATATACACATGCAAATACTACAAAAAGAGTGTTTCAAAACTGCTCTATCAAAAGAAAAGTTTTACTCTGTGAGTTGAACGCACACATGGCAAAGCAGATTCTGAGAATTATTCTGTCTAGTTTTTATAGGAAGGTGTTTCTTTTTCTGCCGTGGGCTCAATGCGCTATAAATATCCCCTTGGAAATCCTACAAAAACAGTGTTTCCAAACTGCTCTGTGAAAAGGGAGGTTTCACTCTTTGAATTGAATGCACACATCACAAAGGAGTTTCTGAGAATTCTTCAATCTAGAGTTACATGAAGAAATCCCGTTTCCAAAGAAGGCCTCCAATAGGTCCAAATATCCACTTGCAGCTACTACAAGAAGGGTGTTTCAGAAACGCTCTATCAAAAGAAACGTTACACTCTGTGAGTTGAACGCACACGTCACTAAGCACTATCTGAGAACGATTCTATGTACTTTTTACATGAAGATGTTTCCTTTTCTAGCAGAGACTTCAAAGTGCTCTAAATATCCACTTGGGAATTCTACCAAAACGGTGTCTCAAAACTGCTCTATCGAAGGGAATGTTCCACTCTGTGAGTCGAATGCACACATCCGAAGAAGTTACTGAGAATTCTTCTCTGTAGGTTTAGATGAAGAAATCCCGTTTCCAACGAAGGCCTCTAGGAGGTCCAATTATCCACTTGCAGATTCTACAGAAAGAGTGTTTCAAAACTGCTCTATCAAGAGAAATGGTCCACCGTGTGTGTGGAATGCAGCCATCACACATTAGTTTCTGAGATTGCTTCTGTCTTGGTTTTATGGGGAGATATTTCCATTTCTAGCGTAGGCTTCAAGGCGCTCTAAATATCCGCTTGGAAATACTACAAAAACAGTGTTTCAAAACTGCTGTATCCAAAGGAAGGTGCCACACGCTGAGTTGAATGCACACATTACAAAGAAGTTTCTGAGAATTCTTCTGTCTAGTTTTATACGAAGAAATCCCGTTTCCAACGAAGGCCTCAAAGAAGTCCAAATATCCCATTGCAAATTCTACAATAGGAGTGTTTCCCAACTACTCTATCAAGAGGAATGTTGCACTCTGTGACTTGAATGCAAACATCACATAGCAGTGTTTGAGAATTCTTCTATCTAGAGTAACATGAAGAAATCCCGTTTCCAACGAAGGCCTCAAGGCGGTCCAATTATCCACTTGCAGATTCTACAGAAAGAGTGTTTCAAAACTGCTCTATCAAGAGAAATGTTCCACCGTGTGTGTGGAATGCAGCCATCACACAGTAGTTTCTGAGATTGCTTCCGTCTAGGTTTTATGGGAAGATATTTCCTTTTCTACCATAGGCCTCAAGGCGCTCTAATATCCGCTTGGAAACACTACAACCACAGCGTTTCAAACTGCTCTACCCAAAGGAAGGTTCCACCCTGTGACTTGAATGCACACAACCAAAGAAGTTTCGGAGAATACTTCTGTCTAGATTTCTACGAAGAAATCCCGTTTCCAACGAAGACCCAAAGGAGTTCCAAATATCCACTTGCAGATCCTTCAGAAAGAGGGTTTCAAAACTGCTCTATCAAGAGAAATGTTCAACTCTGTGAGTTGAATGCAGACATCACAAAGTCGTTTCTGAGATTGGTTCTGTCTAGGTTTTATGGGAAGATATTTCCTTTTCTACCATACGCTTCAAGGCGTTCCAAATATCCGCTTGGAAATACTACAAAAACAGTGTTTCAAAACTGCTCTATCAAAAGGAAGGATCCACACTGTGAGTTGAATTCACACATCACAAAGAAGTCTCTGAGAATTCTTCTGTCTGGGTTTATAGGAAGAAATCCCGTTTCCAACGAAGGCCTCAAAGAGGTCCAAATATCCACTTGCAGATTCTACAGAAACAATGTTTCCAAACTGCTCGGTCAAGAGGAATGTTGCACTCGGTGAGTTGAATGCACACATCACAAAGTAGTTTCTGAGATTGTTTCTGTCTACCTTTGATGGAAAGATATTCCCTTTTCTACCATAGGCCTGAAAGCGCTCTCAATGTACCCTTGCAAATTCTACAAAAAGAGTGTTTCCAAATTGCTCTATCAAGAGAAATCTTTATCTCGGTGAGTTGAAAGCACACATCACAAAGAAGACTCTGAGAATTCTTCTGTCTGGGTTTATAAGATGAAAACCCGTTTCCAACGAAGGCCTCAAGGAGGTCCAAATACAAACAAGCTGATTCTACAGAAAGAGTGTTTCCAAACTGCACTATCAAGAGGAATGTTCCACTCGGTGAGTTGAATGCAGACATCACAAAGGAGTTTCTGAGATTGCTTCTGTCTAGCTTTTATGGAAAGATATTTCCTTTTCTACCATAGGCCTCAAAGCGCTCTTAGTATACACTTCCAAATTCTACAAAGAGAGTGTTACTAAACCGCTCTCTCAAAGGAAATGTTAAACTCTGTGAGTTGAACACAGACATCACAAAGCTGTTTCTGAGAACACTTCTGTCTGCCTTTTATGTGAAGACATTCCCTTTTCCAAAGAATGCCTCCAAGGGCTCAAAATATCCACTTGTAGACTTTACAAAGAGAGTGTTTCAAAACTTCTCTACCAAAAGAAAGGTTAAAGACGGTGAGTTCAACGCACACATCACAAAGTTGTTTCTGAGAATGATTCTATCTATGTTTTCCATGAAGATGTTTCCTTTTCTATCATAGGCTTCAAAGTGGTCTAAATATCCACTTGGAAATCCTACAAGAACAGGGTTTCAAAACTTCTCTATCAAACGGAAGACTCCACTCTGTGAGATGAACGCACACATCACAATGAGGTTTCTGAAAATTCTTCTGTCTAGGGTTATAGGAAGAAATCCCGTTTCCAACGAAGGCCTCAAAGAGGTCCAAATATCCACTTGCAGTTTCTACAAAAAGAGTGTTTCAACACTGCTCTATAAAGAGGAAAGTTCCACTCTGTGAGTTGAATGTACACATCACAAAGTAGTTTCTGAGATTGCTTCTGTCTAGGTTTTAGGTGAAGTTATTTCCTTTTCTACTGTGGGCTTCAATGCGCTCTAAATATACACATGCAAATACTACAAAAAGAGTGTTTCAAAACTGCTCTATCAAAAGAAAAGTTTTACTCTGTGAGTTGAACGCACACATCGCAAAGCAGATTCTGAGAATTATTCTGTCTAGTTTTTATAGGAAGATGTTTCTTTTTCTGCCATAGGATCAATGCGCTATAAATATCCCCTTGGAAATCCTACAAAAACAGTGTTTCAAAACTGCTCTGTGAAAAGGGAGGTTTCACTCTTTGAATTGAATGCACACATCACAAAGGAGTTTCTGAAAATTCTTCAATCTAGAGTTACATGAAGAAATCCCGTTTCCAAAGAAGGCCTCAAATAGGTCCAAATATCCACTTGCAGCTACTACAAGAAGGGTGTTTCAGAAACGCTCTATCAAAAGAAACGATAAACTCTGTGAGTTGAACACACACGTCACTAAGCACTTTCTGAGAACGATTCTATCTACTTTTTACATGAAGATGTTTCCTTTTCTAGCAGAGACTTCAAAGTGCTCTAAATATCCACTTGGGAATTCTACAAAAACGGTGTCTCAAAACTGCTCTATCAAACGGAATGTTCCATTCTGTGAGTCGAATGCACACATCCGAAGAAGTTACTGAGAATTCTTCTCTGTAGGTTTAGGTGAAGAAATCCCGTTTCCAACGAAGGCCTCTAGGAGGTCCAATTATCCACTTGCAGATTCTACAGAAAGAGTGTTTCAAAACTGCTCTATCAAGAGAAATGGTCCACCGTGTGTGTGGAATGCAGCCATCACACATTAGTTTCTGAGATTGCTTCTGTCTTGGTTTTATGGGGAGATATTTCCATTTCTAGCATAGGCTTCAAGGCGCTCTAAATATCCGCTTGGAAATACTACAAAAACAGTGTTTCAAAACTGCTGTATCCAAAGGAAGGTGCCACTCGCTGAGTTGAATGCACACATCACAAGGAAGTTTCTGAGAATTCTTCTGTCTAGATTCATACGAAGAAATCCCGTTTCCAACGAAGGCCTCAAAGAAGTCCAAATATCCCATTGCAAATTCTACAAAAGGAGTGTTTCCCAACTGCTCTATCAAGAGGAATGTTGCACTCTGTGACTTGAATGCAAACATCACATAGCAGTGTTTGAGAATTCTTCTGTCTAGAGTAACATGAAGAAATCCCGTTTCCAACGAAGGCCTCAAGGCGGTCCAATTATCCACTTGCAGATTCTACAGAAAGAGTGTTTCAAAACTGCTCTATCAAGAGAAATGTTCCACCGTGTGTGTGGAATGCAGCCATCACACAGTAGTTTCTGAGATTGCTTCCGTCTAGGTTTTATGGGAAGATATTTCCTTTTCTACCATAGGCCTCAAGGCGCTCTAATATCCGCTTGGAAATACTACAACCACAGCGTTTCAAACTGCTCTATCCAAAGGAAGGTTCCACTCTGTGACTTGAATGCACACAACCAAAGAAGGTTCGGGAGAATTCTTCTGTCTAGATTTATACGAAGAAATCCCGTTTCCAACGAAGACCCAAAGGAGTTCCAAATATCCACTTGCAGATCCTTCAGAAAGAGGGTTTCAAAACGGCTCTATCAAGAGAAATGTTCAACTCTGTGAGTTGAATGCAGACATCACAAAGTCGTTTCTGAGATTGGTTCTGTCTAGGTTTTATGGGAAGATATTTCCTTTTCTACCATACGCTTCAAGGCGTTCCAAATATCCGCTTGGAAATACTACAAAAACAGTGTTTCGAAACTGCTCTATCAAAAGGAAGGATCCACACTGTGAGTTGAATTCACACATCACAAAGAAGTCTCTGAGAATTCTTCTGTCTGGGTTTATAGGAAGAAATCCCGTTTCCAACGAAGGCCTCAAAGAGGTCCAAATATCCACTTGCAGATTCTACAGAAACAATGTTTCCAAACTGCTCGGTCAAGAGGAATGTTGCACTCGGTGAGTTGAATGCACACATCACAAAGTAGTTTCTGAGATTGCTTCTGTCTACCTTTTATGGAAAGGTATTCCCTTTTCTACCATAGGCCTGAAAGTGCTCTCAATGTATCCTTGCAAATTCTACAAAAAGAGTGTTTCCAAATTGCTCTATCAAGAGAAATCTTTATCTCGGTGAGTTGAAAGCACACATCACAAAGAAGACTCTGAGAATTCTTCTGTCTGGGTTTATAAGATGAAAACCCGTTTCCAACCGAAGGCCTCAAGGAGGTCCAAATACAAACAAGCTGATTCTACAGAAAGAGTGTTTCCAAACTGCTCTATCAAGAGGAATGTTCCACTCGGTGAGTTGAATGCAGACATCACAAAGGAGTTTCTGAGATTGCTTCTGTCTACCTTTTATGGAAAGATATTTCCTTTTCTACCATAGGCCTCAAAGCGCTCTTAGTATACACTTCCAAATTCTATAAAGAGAGTGTTACTAAACTGCTCTATCAAAGGAAATGTTAAACTCTGTGAGTTGAACACAGACATCACAAAGCAGTTTCTGAGAACACTTCTGTCTGCCTTTTACGTGAAGACATTCCCTTTTCCAAAGAATGCCTCCAAGGGCTCAAAATATCCACTTGTAGACTTTACAAAGAGAGTGTTTCAAAACTTCTCTACCAAAAGAAAGGTTAAAGACGGCGAGTTCAACGCACACATCACAAAGTTGTTTCTGAGAATGATTCTATCTATGTTTTCCATGAAGATGTTTCCTTTTCTATCATAGGCTTCAAAGTGGTCTAAATATCCACTTGGAAATCCTACAAGAACAGGGTTTCAAAACTTCTCTATCAAACGGAAGACTCCACTCTGTGAGATGAACGCACACATCACAATGAGGTTTCTGAAAATTCTTCTGTCTAGGGTTATAGGAAGAAATCCCGTTTCCAACGAGGGCCTCAAAGAGGTCCACATATCCACTTGCAGTTTCTACAAAAAGAGTGTTTCAACACTGCTCTATAAAGAGGAAAGTTCCACTCTGTGAGTTGAATGTACACATCACAAAGTAGTTTCTGAGATTGCTTCTGTCTAGGTTTTAGGTGAAGTTATTTCCTTTTCTACTGTGGGCTTCAATGCGCTCTAAATATACACATGCAAATACTACAAAAAGAGTGTTTCAAAACTGCTCTATCAAAAGAAAAGTTTTACTCTGTGAGTTGAACGCACACATGGCAAAGCAGATTCTGAGAATTATTCTGTCTAGTTTTTATAGGAAGGTGTTTCTTTTTGTGCCGTAGGCTCAATGCGCTATAAATATCCCCTTGGAAATCCTACAAAAACAGTGTTTCCAAACTGCTCTGTGAAAAGGGAGGTTTCACTCTTTGAATTGAATGCACACATCACAAAGGAGTTTCTGAGAATTCTTCAATCTAGAGTTACATGAAGAAATCCCGTTTCCAAAGAAGGCCTCCAATGGGTCCAAATATCCACTTGCAGCTACTACAAGAAGGGTGTTTCAGAAACGCTCTATCAAAAGAAACGTTACACTCTGTGAGTTGAACGCACACGTCACTAAGCACTTTCTGAGAACGATTCTATCTACTTTTTACATGAAGATGTTTCCTTTTCTAGCAGAGACTTCAAAGTGCTCTAAATATCCGCTTGGGAATTCTACCAAAACTGTGTCTCAAAACTGCTCTATCGAAGGGAATGTTCCACTCTGTGAGTCGAATGCACACATCCGAAGAAGTTACTGAGAATTCTTCTCTGTAGGTTTAGATGACGAAATCCCTTTTCCAACGAAGGCCTCTAGGAGGTCCAATTATCCACTTGCAGATTCTACAGAAAGAGTGTTTCAAAACTGCTCTATCAAGAGAAATGGTCCACCGTGTGTGTGGAATGCAGCCATCACACATTAGTTTCTGAGATTGCTTCTGTCTTGGTTTTATGGGGAGATATTTCCATTTCTAGCATAGGCTTCAAGGCGCTCTAAATATCCGCTTGGAAATAGTACAAAAACAGGGTTTCAAAACTGCTGTATCCAAAGGAAGGTGCCACTCGCTGAGTTGAATGCACACATCACAAGGAAGTTTCTGAGAATTCTTCTGTCTAGATTCATACGAAGAAATCCCGTTTCCAACGAAGGCCTCAAAGAAGTCCAAATATCCCATTGCAAATTCTACAAAAGGAGTGTTTCCCAACTGCTCTATCAAGAGGAATGTTGCACTCTGTGACTTGCATGCAAACATCACATAGCAGTGTTTGAGAATTCTTCTGTCTAGAGTAACATGAAGAAATCCCGTTTCCAACGAAGGCCTCAAGGCGGTCCAATTATCCACTTGCAGATTCTACAGAAAGAGTGTTTCAAAACTGCTCTATCAAGAGAAATGTTCCACCGTGTGTGTGGAATGCAGCCATCACACAGTAGTTTCTGAGATTGCTTCCGTCTAGGTTTTATGGGAAGATATTTCCTTTTCTACCATAGGCTTCAAGGCGCTCTAATATCCGCTTGGAAATACTACAACCACAGCGTTTCAAACTGCTCTATCCAAAGGAAGGTTCCACTCTGTGACTTGAATGCACACAACCAAAGAAGTTTCGGAGAATTCTTCTGTCTGGATTTATACGAAGAAATCCCGTTTCCAACGAAGACCCAAAGGAGTTCCAAATATCCACTTGCAGCTCCTTCAGAAAGAGGGTTTCAAAACTGCTCTATCAAGAGAAATGTTCAACTCTGTGAGTTGAATGCAGACATCACAAAGTCGTTTCTGAGATGGGTTCTGTCTAGGTTTTATGGGAAGATATTTCCTTTTCTACCATACGCTTCAAGGCGTTCCAAATATCCGCTTGGAAATACTACAAAAACAGTGTTTCAAAACTGCTCTATCAAAAGGAAGGATCCACACTGTGAGTTGAATTCACACATCACAAAGAAATCTCTGAGAATTCTTCTGTCTGGGTTTATAGGAAGAAATCCCGTTTCCAACGAAGGCCTCAAAGCGGTCCATATATCCACTTGCAGATTCTACAGAAACAATGTTTCCAAACTGCTCTATCAAGAGGAATGTTGCACTCGGTGAGTTGAATGCACACATCACAAAGTAGTTTCTGAGATTGCTTCTGTCTACCTTTGATGGAAAGATATTCCCTTTTCTACCATAGGCCTGAAAGCGCTCTCAATGTACCCTTGCAAATTCTACAAAAAGAGTGTTTCCAAATTGCTCTATCAAGAGAAATCTTTATCTCGGTGAGTTGAAAGCACACATCACAAAGAAGACTCTGAGAATTCTTCTGTCTGGGTTTATAAGATGAAAACCCGTTTCCAACGAAGGCCTCAAGGAGGTCCAAATACAAACAAGCTGATTCTACAGAAAGAGTGTTTCCAAACTGCTCTATCAAGAGGAATGTTCCACTCGGTGAGTTGAATGCAGACATCACAAAGGAGTTTCTGAGATTGCTTCTGTCTAGCTTTTATGGAAAGATAATTCCTTTTCTACCATAGGCCTCAAAGCGCTCTTAGTATACACTTCCAAATTCTACAAAGAGAGTGTTACTAAACCGCTCTCTCAAAGGAAATGTTAAACTCTGTGAGTTGAACACAGACATCACAAAGCAGTTTCTGAGAACACTTCTGTCTGCCTTTTATGTGAAGACATTCCCTTTTCCAAAGAATGCCTCCAAGGGCTCAAAATATCCACTTGTAGACTTTACAAAGAGAGTGTTTCAAAACTTCTCTACCAAAAGAAAGGTTAAAGACGGTGAGTTCAACGCACACATCACAAAGTTGTTTCTGACAATGATTCTATCTATGTTTTCCATGAAGATGTTTCCTTTTCTATCATAGGCTTCAAAGTGGTCTAAATATCCACTTGGAAATCCTACAAGAACAGGGTTTCAAAACTTCTCTATCAAACGGAAGACTCCACTCTGTGAGATGAACGCACACATCACAATGAGGTTTCTGAAAATTCTTCTGTCTAGGGTTATAGGAAGAAATCCCGTTTCCAACGAAGGCCTCAAAGAGGTCCAAATATCCACTTGCAGTTTCTACAAAAAGAGTGTTTCAACACTGCTCTATAAAGAGGAAAGTTCCACTCTGTGAGTTGAATGTACACATCACAAATTAGTTTCTGAGATTGCTTCTGTCTAGGTTTTAGGTGAAGTTATTTCCTTTTCTACTGTGGGCTTCAATGCGCTCTAAATATACACATGCAAATACTACAAAAAGAGTGTTTCAAAACTGCTCTATCAAAAGAAAAGTTTTACTCTGTGGGTTGAACGCACACATCGCAAAGCAGATTCTGAGAATTATTCTGTCTAGTTTTTATAGGAAGATGTTTCTTTTTCTGCCGTAGGATCAATGCGCTATAAATATCCCCTTGGAAATCCTACAAAAACAGTGTTTCAAAACTGCTCTGTGAAAAGGGAGGTTTCACTCTTTGAATTGAATGCACACATCACAAAGGAGTTTCTGAAAATTCTTCAAACTAGAGTTACATGAAGAAATCCCGTTTCCAAAGAAGGCCTCAAATAGGTCCAAATATCCACTTGCAGCTACTACAAGAAGGGTGTTTCAGAAACGCTCTATCAAAAGAAACGTTAAACTCTGTGAGTTGAACGCACACGTCACTAAGCACTTTCTGAGAACGATTCTATCTACTTTTACATGAAGATGTTTCCTTTTCTAGCAGAGACTTCAAAGTGCTCTAAATATCCACTTGGGAATTCTACAAAAACGGTGTCTCAAAACTGCTCTATCAAAGGGAATGTTCCATTCTGTGAGTCGAATGCACACATCCGAAGAAGTTACTGAGAATTCTTCTCTGTAGGTTTAGATGAAGAAATCCCGTTTCCAACGAAGGCCTCTAGGAGGTCCAATTATCCACTTGCAGATTCTACAGAAAGAGTGTTTCAAAACTGCTCTATCAAGAGAAATGGTCCACCGTGTGTGTGGAATGCAGCCATCACACATTAGTTTCTGAGATTGCTTCTGTCTTGGTTTTATGGGGAGATATTTCCATTTCTAGCATAGGCTTCAAGGCGCTCTAAATATCCGCTTGGAAATACTACAAAAACAGTGTTTCAAAACTGCTGTATCCAAAGGAAGGTGCCACTCGCTGAGTTGAATGCACACATCACAAGGAAGTTTCTGAGAATTCTTCTGTCTAGATTCATACGAAGAAATCCCGTTTCCAACGAAGGCCTCAAAGAAGTCCAAATATCCCATTGCAAATTCTACAAAAGGAGTGTTTCCCAACTGCTCTATCAAGAGGAATGTTGCACTCTGTGACTTGCATGCAAACATCACATAGCAGTGTTTGAGAATTCTTCTGTCTAGAGTAACATGAAGAAATCCCGTTTCCAACGAAGGCCTCAAGGCGGTCCAATTATCCACTTGCAGATTCTACAGAAAGAGTGTTTCAAAACTGCTCTATCAAGAGAAATGTTCCACCGTGTGTGTGGAATGCAGCCATCACACAGTAGTTTCTGAGATTGCTTCCGTCTAGGTTTTATGGGAAGATATTTCCTTTTCTACCATAGGCCTCAAGGCGTTCTAATATCCGCTTGGAAATACTACAACCACAGCGTTTCAAACTGCTCTATCCAAAGGAAGGTTCCACTCTGTGACTTGAATGCACACAACCAAAGAAGTTTCGGAGAATTCTTCTGTCTAGATTTATACGAAGAAATCCCGTTTCCAACGAAGACCCAAAGGAGTTCCAAATATCCACTTGCAGATCCTTCAGAAAGAGGGTTTCAAAACTGCTCTATCAAGAGAAATGTTCAACTCTGTGAGTTGAATGCAGACATCACAAAGTCGTTTCTGAGATTGGTTCTGTCTAGGTTTTATGGGAAGATATTTCCTTTTCTACCATACGCTTCAAGGCGTTCCAAATATTCGCTTGGAAATACTACAAAAACAGTGTTTCGAAACTGCTCTATCAAAAGGAAGGATCCACACTGTGAGTTGAATTCACACATCACAAAGAAGTCTCTGAGAATTCTTCTGTCTGGGTTTATAGGAAGAAATCCCGTTTCCAACGAAGGCCTCAAAGAGGTCCAAATATCCACTTGCAGATTCTACAGAAACAATATTTCCTAACTGCTCGGTCAAGAGGAATGTTGCACTCGGTGAGTTTAATGCACACATCACAAAGTAGTTTCTGAGATTGCTTCTGTCTACCTTCGATGGAAAGATATTCCCTTTTCTACCATAGGCCTGAAAGCGCTCTCAATGTACCCTTGCAAATTCTACAAAAAGAGTGTTTCCAAATTGCTCTATCAAGAGAAATCTTTATCTCGGTGAGTTGAAAGCACACATCACAAAGAAGACTCTGAGAATTCTTCTGTCTGGGTTTATAAGATGAAAACCCGTTTCCAACGAAGGCCTCAAGGAGGTCCAAATACAAACAAGCTGATTCTACAGAAAGAGTGTTTCCAAACTGCTCTATCAAGAGGAATGTTCCACTCGGTGAGTTGAATGCAGACATCACAAAGGAGTTTCTGAGATTGCTTCTGTCTAGCTTTTATGGAAAGATATTTCCTTTTCTACCATAGGCCTCAAAGCGCTCTTAGTATACACTTCCAAATTCTACAAAGAGAGTGTTACTAAACCGCTCTCTCAAAGGAAATGTTAAACTCTGTGAGTTGAACACAGACATCACAAAGCAGTTTCTGAGAACACTTCTGTCTGCCTTTTATGTGAAGACATTCCCTTTTCCAAAGAATGCCTCCAAGGGCTCAAAATATCCACTTGTAGACTTTACAAAGAGAGTGTTTCAAAACTTCTCTACCAAAAGAAAGGTTAAAGACTGTGAGTTCAACGCACACATCACAAAGTTGTTTCTGAGAATGATTCTGTCTAGGGTTATAGGAAGAAATCCCGTTTCCAACGAAGGCCTCAAAGAGGTCCAAATATCCACTTGCAGTTTCTACAAAAAGAGTGTTTCAACACTGCTCTATAAAGAGAAAAGTTCCACTCTGTGAGTTGAATGTACACATCACAAAGTAGTTTCTGAGATTGCTTCTGTCTAGGTTTTAGGTGAATTTATTTCTTTTTCTACTGTGGGCTTCAATGCGCTCTAAATATACACATGCAAATACTACAAAAAGAGTGTTTCAAAACTGCTCTATCAAAAGAAAAGTTTTACTCTGTGAGTTGAACGCACACATCGCAAAGCAGATTCTGAGAATTATTCTGTCTAGTTTTTATAGGAAGATGTTTCTTTTTCTGCCATAGGCTCAATGCGCTATAAATATCCCCTTGGAAATCCTACAAAAACAGTGTTTCAAAACTGCTCTGTGAAAAGGGAGGTTTCACTCTTTGAATTGAATGCACACATCACAAAGGAGTTTCTGAAAATTCTTCAATCTAGAGTTACATGAAGAAATCCCGTTTCCAAAGAAGGCCTCAAATAGGTCCAAATATCCACTTGCAGCTACTACAAGAAGGGTGTTTCAGAAACGCTCTATCAAAAGAAACGTTAAACTCTGTGAGTTGAACGCACACGTCACTAAGCACTTTCTGAGAACGATTCTATCTACTTTTTACATGAAGATGTTTCCTTTTCTAGCAGAGACTTCAAAGTGCTCTAAATATCCACTTGGGAATTCTACAAAAACGGTGTCTCAAAACTGCTCTACCAAAGGGAATGTTCCATTCTGTGAGTCGAATGCACACATCCGAAGAAGTTACTGAGAATTCTTCTCTGTAGGTTTAGATGAAGAAATCCCGTTTCCAACGAAGGCCTCTAGGAGGTCCAATTATCCACTTGCAGATTCTACAGAAAGAGTGTTTCAAAACTGCTCTATCAAGAGAAATGGTCCACCGTGTGTGTGGAATGCAGCCATCACACATTAGTTTCTGAGATTGCTTCTGTCTTGGTTTTATGGGGAGATATTTCCATTTCTAGCATAGGCTTCAAGGCGCTCTAAATATCCGCTTGGAAATACTACAAAAACAGTGTTTCAAAACTGCTGTATCCAAAGGAAGGTGCCACTCGCTGAGTTGAATGCACACATCACAAGGAAGTTTCTGAGAATTCTTCTGTCTAGATTCATACGAAGAAATCCCGTTTCCAACGAAGGCCTCAAAGAAGTCCAAATATCCCATTGCAAATTCTACAAAAGGAGTGTTTCCCAACTGCTCTATCAAGAGGAATGTTGCACTCTGTGACTTGCATGCAAACATCACACAGCAGTGTTTGAGAATTCTTCTGTCTAGAGTAACATGAAGAAATCCCATTTCCAACGAAGGCCTCAAGGCGGTCCAATTATCCACTTGCAGATTCTACAGAAAGAGTGTTTCAAAACTGCTCTATCAAGAGAAATGTTCCACCGTGTGTGTGGAATGCAGCCATCACACAGTAGTTTCTGAGATTGCTTCCGTCTAGGTTTTATGGGAAGATATTTCCTTTTCTACCATAGGCCTCAAGGCGCTCTAATATCCGCTTGGAAATACTACAACCACAGCGTTTCAAACTGCTCTATCCAAAGGAAGGTTCCACTCTGTGACTTGAATGCACACAACCAAAGAAGTTTCGGAGAATTCTTCTGTCTGGATTTATACGAAGAAATCCCGTTTCCAACGAAGACCCAAAGGAGTTCCAAATATCCACTTGCAGCTCCTTCAGAAAGAGGGTTTCAAAACTGCTCTATCAAGAGAAATGTTCAACTCTGTGAGTTGAATGCAGACATCACAAAGTCGTTTCTGAGATGGGTTCTGTCTAGGTTTTATTGGAAGATATTTCCTTTTCTACCATACGCTTCAAGGCGTTCCAAATATCCGCTTGGAAATACTACAAAAACAGTGTTTCAAAACTGCTCTATCAAAAGGAAGGATCCACACTGTGAGTTGAATTCACACATCACAAAGAAATCTCTGAGAATTCTTCTGTCTGGGTTTATAGGAAGAAATCCCGTTTCCAACGAAGGCCTCAAAGCGGTCCATATATCCACTTGCAGATTCTACAGAAACAATGTTTCCAAACTGCTCTATCAAGAGGAATGTTGCACTCGGTGAGTTGAATGCACACATCACAAAGTAGTTTCTGAGATTGCTTCTGTCTACCTTTTATGGAAAGATATTCCCTTTTCTACCATAGGCCTGAAAGCGCTCTCAATGTACCCTTGCAAATTCTACAAAAAGAGTGTTTCCAAATTGCTCTATCAAGAGAAATCTTTATCTCGGTGAGTTGAAAGCACACATCACAAAGAAGACTCTGAGAATTCTTCTGTCTGGGTTTATAAGATGAAAACCCGTTTCCAACGAAGGCCTCAAGGAGGTCCAAATACAAACAAGCTGATTCTACAGAAAGAGTGTTTCCAAACTGCTCTATCAAGAGGAATGTTCCACTCGGTGAGTTGAATGCAGACATCACAAAGGAGTTTCTGAGATTGCTTCTGTCTAGCTTTTATGGAAAGATATTTCCTTTTCTACCATAGGCCTCAAAGCGCTCTTAGTATACACTTCCAAATTCTACAAAGAGAGTGTTACTAAACCGCTCTCTCAAAGGAAATGTTAAACTCTGTGAGTTGAACACAGACATCACAAAGCAGTTTCTGAGAACACTTCTGTCTGCCTTTTATGTGAAGACATTCCCTTTTCCAAAGAATGCCTCCAAGGGCTCAAAATATCCACTTGTAGACTTTACAAAGAGAGTGTTTCAAAACTTCTCTACCAAAAGAAAGGTTAAAGACGGTGAGTTCAACGCACACATCACAAAGTTGTTTCTGAGAATGATTCTATCTATGTTTTCCATGAAGATGTTTCCTTTTCTATCATAGGCTTCAAAGTGGTCTAAATATCCACTTGGAAATCCTACAAGAACAGGGTTTCAAAACTTCTCTATCAAACGGAAGACTCCACTCTGTGAGATGAACGCACACATCACAATGAGGTTTCTGAAAATTTTTCTGTCTAGGGTTATAGGAAGAAATCCCGTTTCCAACGAAGGCCTCAAAGAGGTCCAAATATCCACTTGCAGTTTCTACAAAAAGAGTGTTTCAACACTGCTCTATAAAGAGGAAAGTTCCACTCTGTGAGTTGAATGTACACATCACAAAGTAGTTTCTGAGATTGCTTCTGTCTAGGTTTTAGGTGAAGTTATTTCCTTTTCTACTGTGGGCTTCAATGCGCTCTAAATATACACATGCAAATACTACAAAAAGAGTGTTTCAAAACTGCTCTATCAAAAGAAAAGTTTTACTCTGTGGGTTGAACGCACACATCGCAAAGCAGATTCTGAGAATTATTCTGTCTAGTTTTTATAGGAAGATGTTTGTTTTTCTGCCATAGGATCAATGCGCTATAAATATCCCCTTGGAAATCCTACAAAAACAGTGTTTCAAAACTGCTCTGTGAAAAGGGAGGTTTCACTCTTTGAATTGAATGCACACATCACAAAGGAGTTTCTGAAAATTCTTCAATCTAGAGTTACATGAAGAAATCCCGTTTCCAAAGAAGGCCTCAAATAGGTCCAAATATCCACTTGCAGCTACTACAAGAAGGGTGTTTCAGAAACGCTCTATCAAAAGAAACGTTAAACTCTGTGAGTTGAACACACACGTCACTAAGCACTTTCTGAGAACGATTCTATCTACTTTTTACATGAAGATGTTTCCTTTTCTAGCAGAGACTTCAAAGTGCTCTAAATATCCACTTGGGAATTCTACAAAAATGGTGTCTCAAAACTGCTCTATCAAACGGAATGTTCCATTCTGTGAGTCGAATGCACACATCCGAAGAAGTTACTGAGAATTCTTCTCTGTAGGTTTAGATGAAGAAATCCCGTTTCCAACGAAGGGCCTCTAGGAGGTCCAATTATCCACTTGCAGATTCTACAGAAAGAGTGTTTCAAAACTGCTCTATCAAGAGAAATGGTCCACCGTGTGTGTGGAATGCAGCCATCACACATTAGTTTCTGAGATTGTTTCTGTCTTGGTTTTATGGGGAGATATTTCCATTTCTAGCATAGGCTTCAAGGCGCTCTAAATATCCGCTTGGAAATAGTACAAAAACAGTGTTTCAAAACTGCTGTATCCAAAGGAAGGTGCCACTCGCTGAGTTGAATGCACACATCACAAGGAAGTTTCTGAGAATTCTTCTGTCTAGATTCATACGAAGAAATCCCGTTTCCAACGAAGGCCTCAAAGAAGTCCAAATATCCCATTGCAAATTCTACAAAAGGAGTGTTTCCCAACTGCTCTATCAAGAGGAATGTTGCACTCTGTGACTTGAATGCAAACATCACATAGCAGTGTTTGAGAATTCTTCTGTCTAGAGTAACATGAAGAAATCCCGTTTCCAACGAAGGCCTCAAGGCGGTCCAATTATCCACTTGCAGATTCTACAGAAAGAGTGTTTCAAAACTGCTCTATCAAGAGAAATGTTCCACCGTGTGTGTGGAATGCAGCCATCACACAGTAGTTTCTGAGATTGCTTCCGTCTAGGTTTTATGGGAAGATATTTCCTTTTCTACCATAGGCTTCAAGGCGCTCTATTATCTGCTTGGAAATACTACAACCACAGCGTTTCAAACTGCTCTATCCAAAGGAAGGTTCCACTCTGTGACTTGAATGCACACAACCAAAGAAGTTTCGGAGAATTCTTCTGTCTGGATTTATACGAAGAAATCCCGTTTCCAACGAAGTACCCAAAGGAGTTCCAAATATCCACTTGCAGATCCTTCAGAAAGAGGGTTTCAAAACTGCTCTATGAAGAGAAATGTTCAACTCTGTGAGTTGAATGCAGACATCACAAAGTCGTTTCTGAGATTGGTTCTGTCTAGGTTTTATGGGAAGATATTTCCTTTTCTACCATACGCTTCAAGGCGTTCCAAATATCCGCTTGGAAATACTACAAAAACGGTGTTTCAAAACTGCTCTATCAAAAGGAAGGATCCACACTGTGAGTTGAATTCACACATCACAAAGAAATCTCTGAGAATTCTTCTGTCTGGGTTTATAGGAAGAAATCCCGTTTCCAACGAAGGCCTCAAAGAGGTCCAAATATCCACTTGCAGATTCTACAGAAACAATGTTTCCAAACTGCTCGGTCAAGAGGAATGTTGCACTCGGTGAGTTGAATGCACACATCACAAAGTAGTTTCTGAGATTGCTTCTGTCTACCTTTTATGGAAAGATATTCCCTTTTCTACCATAGGCCTGAAAGCGCTCTCAATGTACCCCTGCAAATTCTACAAAAAGAGTGTTTCCAAATTGCTCTATCAAGAGAAATCTTTATCTCGGTGAGTTGAAAGCACACATCACAAAGAAGACTCTGAGAATTCTTCTGTCTGGGTTTATAAGATGAAAACCCGTTTCCAACGAAGGCCTCAAGGAGGTCCAAATACAAACAAGCTGATTCTACAGAAAGAGTGTTTCCAAACTGCTCTATCAAGAGGAATGTTCCACTCGGTGAGTTGAATGCAGACATCACAAAGGAGTTTCTGAGATTGCTTCTGTCTAGCTTTTATGGAAAGATATTTCCTTTTCTACCATAGGCCTCAAAGCGCTCTTAGTATACACTTCCAAATTCTACAAAGAGAGTGTTACTAAACCGCTCTCTCAAAGGAAATGTTAAACTCTGTGAGTTGAACACAGACATCACAAAGCAGTTTCTGAGAACACTTCTGTCTGCCTTTTATGTGAAGACATTCCCTTTTCCAAAGAATGCCTCCAAGGGCTCAAAATATCCACTTGTAGACTTTACAAAGAGAGTGTTTCAAAACTTCTCTACCAAAAGAAAGGTTAAAGACGGCGAGTTCAACGCACACATCACAAAGTTGTTTCTGAGAATGATCTATCTATGTTTTCCATGAAGATGTTTCCTTTTCTATCATAGGCTTCAAAGTGGTCTAAATATCCACTTGGAAATCCTACAAGAACAGGGTTTCAAAACTTCTCTATCAAACGGAAGACTCCACTCTGTGAGATGAACGCACACATCACAATGAGGTTTCGAAAATTCTTCTCTGTCTAGGGTTATAGGAAGAAATCCCGTTTCCAACGAAGGCCTCAAAGAAGTCTAAATATCCACTTGCAGTTTCTACAAAAAGAGTGTTTCAACACTGCTCTATAAAGAGGAAAGTTCCACTCTGTGAGTTGAATGTACACATCACAAAGTAGTTTCTGAGATTGCTTCTGTCTAGGTTTTAGGTGAAGTTATTTCCTTTTCTACTGTGGGCTTCAATGCGCTCTAAATATACACATGCAAATACTACAAAAAGAGTGTTTCAAAACTGCTCTATCAAAAGAAAAGTTTTACTCTGTGGGTTGAACGCACACATCGCAAAGCAGATTCTGAGAATTATTCTGTCTAGTTTTTATAGGAAGATGTTTCTTTTTCTGCCGTAGGCTCAATGCGCTATAAATATCCCCTTGGAAATCCTACAAAAACAGTGTTTCAAAACTGCTCTGTGAAAAGGGAGGTTTAACTCTTTGGATTGAATGCACACATCACAAAGGAGTTTCTGAAAATTCTTCAAACTAGAGTTACATGAAGAAATCCCGTTTCCAAAGAAGGCCTCAAATAGGTCCAAATATCCACTTGCAGCTACTACAAGAAGGGTGTTTCAGAAACGGTCTATCAAAAGAAACGTTAAACTCTGTGAGTTGAACGCACACGTCACTAAGCACTTTCTGAGAACGATTCTATCTACTTTTTACATGAAGATGTTTCCTTTTCTAGCAGAGACTTCAAAGTGCTCTAAATATCCACTTGGGAATTCTACAAAAACGGTGTCTCAAAACTGCTCTATCAAACGGAATGTTCCATTGTGTGAGTCGAATGCACACATCCGAAGAAGTTACTGAGAATTCTTCTCTGTAGGTTTAGATGAAGAAATCCCGTTTCCAACGAAGGCCTCTAGGAGGTCCAATTATCCACTTGCAGATTCTACAGAAAGAGTGTTTCAAAACTGCTCTATCAAGAGAAATGGTCCACCGTGTGTGTGGAATGCAGCCATCACACATTAGTTTCTGAGATTGCTTCTGTCATGGTTTTATGGGGAGATATTTCCATTTCTAGCATAGGCTTCAAGGCGCTCTAAATATCCGCTTGGAAATAGTACAAAAACAGTGTTTCAAAACTGCTGTATCCAAAGGAAGGTGCCACTCGCTGAGTTGAATGCACACATCACAAGGAAGTTTCTGAGAATTCTTCTGTCTAGATTCATACGAAGAAATCCCGTTTCCAACGAAGGCCTCAAAGAAGTCCAAATATCCCATTGCAAATTCTACAAAAGGAGTGTTTCCCAACTGCTCTATCAAGAGGAATGTTGCACTCTGTGACTTGAATGCAAACATCACATAGCAGTGTTTGAGAATTCTTCTGTCTAGAGTAACATGAAGAAATCCCGTTTCCAACGAAGGCCTCAAGGCGGTCCAATTATCCACTTGCAGATTCTACAGAAAGAGTGTTTCAAAACTGCTCTATCAAGAGAAATGTTCCACCGTGTGTGTGGAATGCAGCCATCACACAGTAGTTTCTGAGATTGCTTCCGTCTAGATTTTATGGGAAGATATTTCCTTTTCTACCATAGGCCTCAAGGCGCTCTAATATCCGCTTGGAAATACTACAACCACAGCGTTTCAAACTGCTCTATCCAAAGGAAGGTTCCACTCTGTGACTTGAATGCACACAACCAAAGAAGTTTCGGAGAATTCTTCTGTCTGGATTTATACGAAGAAATCCCGTTTCCAACGAAGACCCAAAGGAGTTCCAAATATCCACTTGCAGATCCTTCAGAAAGAGGGTTTCAAAACTGCTCTATCAAGAGAAATGTTCAACTCTGTGAGTTGAATGCAGACATCACAAAGTCGTTTCTGAGATGGGTTCTGTCTAGGTTTTATGGGAAGATATTTCCTTTTCTACTATACTCTTCAAGGCGTTCCAAATATCTGCTTGGAAATACTACAAAAACAGTGTTTCAAAACTGCTCTATCAAAAGGAAAGATCCACACTGTGAGTTGAATTCACACATCACAAAGAAATCTCTGAGAATTCTTCTGTCTGGGTTTATAGGAAGAAATCCCGTTTCCAACGAAGGCCTCAAAGCGGTCCATATATCCACTTGCAGATTCTACAGAAACAATGTTTCCAAACTGCTCGGTCAAGAGGAATGTTGCACTCGGTGAGTTGAATGCACACATCACAAAGTAGTTTCTGAGATTGCTTCTGTCTACCTTTGATGGAAAGATATTCCCTTTTCTACCATAGGCCTGAAAGCGCTCTCAATGTACCCTTGCAAATTCTACAAAAAGAGTGTTTCCAAATTGCTCTATCAAGAGAAATCTTTATCTCGGTGAGTTGAAAGCACACATCACAAAGAAGACTCTGAGAATTCTTCTGTCTGGGTTTATAAGATGAAAACCCGTTTCCAACGAAGGCCTCAAGGAGGTCCAAATACAAACAAGCTGATTCTACAGAAAGAGTGTTTCCAAACTGCTCTATCAAGAGGAATGTTCCACTCGGTGAGTTGAATGCAGACATCACAAAGGAGTTTCTGAGATTGCTTCTGTCTAGCTTTTATGGAAAGATATTTCCTTTTCTACCATAGGCCTCAAAGCGCTCTTAGTATACACTTCCAAATTCTACAAAGAGAGTGTTACTAAACCGCTCTCTCAAAGGAAATGTTAAACTCTGTGAGTTGAACACAGACATCACAAAGCAGTTTCTGAGAACACTTCTGTCTGCCTTTTATGTGAAGACATTCCCTTTTCCAAAGAATGCCTCCAAGGGCTCAAAATATCCACTTGTAGACTTTACAAAGAGAGTGTTTCAAAACTTCTCTACCAAAAGAAAGGTTAAAGACGGTGAGTTCAACGCACACATCACAAAGTTGTTTCTGAGAATGATTCTATCTATGTTTTCCATGAAGATGTTTCCTTTTCTATCATAGGCTTCAAAGTGGTCTAAATATCCACTTGGAAATCCTACAAGAACAGGGTTTCAAAACTTCTCTATCAAACGGAAGACTCCACTCTGTGAGATGAACGCACACATCACAATGAGGTTTCTGAAAATTCTTCTGTCTAGGGTTATAGGAAGAAATCCCGTTTCCAACGAAGGCCTCAAAGAGGTCCAAATATCCACTTGCAGTTTCTACAAAAAGAGTGTTTCAACACTGCTCTATAAAGAGGAAAGTTCCACTCTGTGAGTTGAATGTACACATCACAAAGTAGTTTCTGAGATTGCTTCTGTCTAGGTTTTAGGTGAAGTTATTTCCTTTTCTACTGTGGGCTTCAATGCGCTCTAAATATACACATGCAAATACTACAAAAAGAGTGTTTCAAAACTGCTCTATCAAAAGAAAAGTTTTACTCTGTGGGTTGAACGCACACATCGCAAAGCAGATTCTGAGAATTATTCTGTCTAGTTTTTATAGGAAGATGTTTCTTTTTCTGCCATAGGCTCAATGCGCTATAAATATCCCCTTGGAAGTCCTACAAAAACAGTGTTTCAAAACTGCTCTGTGAAAAGGGAGGTTTCACTCTTTGAATTGAATGCACACATCACAAAGGAGTTTCTGAAAATTCTTCAATCTAGAGTTACATGAAGAAATCCCGTTTCCAAAGAAGGCCTCAAATAGGTCCAAATATCCACTTGCAGCTACTACAAGAAGGGTGTTTCAGAAACGCTCTATCAAAAGAAACGTTAAACTCTGTGAGTTGAACGCACACGTCACTAAGCACTTTCTGAGAACGATTCTATCTACTTTTTACATGAAGATGTTTCCTTTTCTAGCAGAGACTTCAAAGTGCTCTAAATATCCACTTGGGAATTCTACAAAAACGGTGTCTCAAAACTGCTCTATCAAAGGGAATGTTCCATTCTGTGAGTCGAATGCACACATCCGAAGAAGTTACTGAGAATTCTTCTCTGTAGGTTTAGATGAAGAAATCCCGTTTCCAACGAAGGCCTCTAGGAGGTCCAATTATCCACTTGCAGATTCTACAGAAAGAGTGTTTCAAAACTGCTCTATCAAGAGAAATGGTCCACCGTGTGTGTGGAATGCAGCCATCACACATTAGTTTCTGAGATTGCTTCTGTCTTGGTTTTATGGGGAGATATTTCCATTTCTAGCATAGGCTTCAAGGCGCTCTAAATATCCGCTTGGAAATAGTACAAAAACAGTGTTTCAAAACTGCTGTATCCAAAGGAAGGTGCCACTCGCTGAGTTGAATGCACACATCACAAGGAAGTTTCTGAGAATTCTTCTGTCTAGATTCATACGAAGAAATCCCGTTTCCAACGAAGGCCTCAAAGAAGTCCAAATATCCCATTGCAAATTCTACAAAAGGAGTGTTTCCCAACTGCTCTATCAAGAGGAATGTTGCACTCTGTGACTTGAATGCAAACATCACATAGCAGTGTTTGAGAATTCTTCTGTCTAGAGTAACATGAAGAAATCCCGCTTCCAACGAAGGCCTCGAGGCGGTCCAATTATCCACTTGCAGATTCTACAGAAAGAGTGTTTCAAAACTGCTCTATCAAGAGAAATGTTCCACCGTGTGTGTGGAATGCAGCCATCACACAGTAGTTTCTGAGATTGCTTCCGTCTAGGTTTTATGGGAAGATATTTCCTTTTCTACCATAGGCTTCAAGGCGCTCTAATATCCGCTTGGAAATACTACAACCACAGCGTTTCAAACTGCTCTATCCAAAGGAAGGTTCCACTCTGTGACTTGAATGCACACAACCAAAGAAGTTTCGGAGAATTCTTCTGTCTAGATTTATACGAAGAAATCCCGTTTCCAACGAAGACCCAAAGGAGTTCCAAATATCCACTTGCAGATCCTTCAGAAAGAGGGTTTCAAAACTGCTCTATCAAGAGAAATGTTCAACTACTGTGAGTTGAATGCAGACATCACAAAGTCGTTTCTGAGATTGGTTCTGTCTAGGTTTTATGGGAAGATATTTCCTTTTCTACCATACGCTTCAAGGCGTTCCAAATATCCGCTTGGAAATACTACCAAAACAGTGTTTCAAAACTGCTCTATCAAAAGGAAGGATCCACACTGTGAGTTGAATTCACACATCACAAAGAAGTCTCTGAGAATTCTTCTGTCTGGGTTTATAGGAAGAAATCCCGTTTCCAACGAAGGCCTCAAAGAGGTCCAAATATCCACTTGCAGATTCTACAGAAACAATGTTTCCAAACTGCTCTATCAAGAGGAATGTTGCACTCGGTGAGTTGAATGCACACATCACAAAGTAGTTTCTGAGATTGCTTCTGTCTACCTTTTATGGAAAGATATTCCCTTTTCTACCATAGGCCTGAAAGCGCTCTCAATGTACCCTTGCAAATTCTACAAAAAGAGTGTTTCCAAATTGCTCTATCAAGAGAAATCTTTATCTCGGTGAGTTGAAAGCACACATCACAAAGAAGACTCTGAGAATTCTTCTGTCTGGGTTTATAAGATGAAAACCCGTTTCCAACGAAGGCCTCAAGGAGGTCCAAATACAAACAAGCTGATTCTACAGAAAGAGTGTTTCCAAACTGCTCTATCAAGAGGAATGTTCCACTCGGTGAGTTGAATGCAGACATCACAAAGGAGTTTCTGAGATTGCTTCTGTCTAGCTTTTATGGAAAGATATTTCCTTTTCTACCATAGGCCTCAAAGCGCTCTTAGTATACACTTCCAAATTCTACAAAGAGAGTGTTACTAAACCGCTCTCTCAAAGGAAATGTTACACTCTGTGAGTTGAACACAGACATCACAAAGCAGTTTCTGAGAACACTTCTGTCTGCCTTTTATGTGAAGACATTCCCTTTTCCAAAGAATGCCTCCAAGGGCTCAAAATATCCACTCGTAGACTTTACAAAGAGAGTGTTTCAAAACTTCTCTACCAAAAGAAAGGTTAAAGACGGTGAGTTCAACGCACACATCACAAAGTTGTTTCTGAGAATGATTCTATCTATGTTTTCCATGAAGATGTTTCCTTTTCTATCATAGGCTTCAAAGTGGTCTAAATATCCACTTGGAAATCCTACAAGAACAGGGTTTCAAAACTTCTCTATCAAACGGAACACTCCACTCTGTGAGATGAACGCACACATCACAATGAGGTTTCTGAAAATTCTTCTGTCTAGGGTTATAGGAAGAAATCCCGTTTCCAACGAAGGCCTCAAAGAGGTCCAAATATCCACTTGCAGTTTCTACAAAAAGAGTGTTTCAACACTGCTCTATAAAGAGGAAAGTTCCACTCTGTGAGTTGAATGTACACATCACAAAGTAGTTTCTGAGATTGCTTCTGTCTAGGTTTTAGGTGAAGTTATTTCCTTTTCTACTGTGGGCTTCAATGCGCTCTAAATATACACATGCAAATACTACAAAAAGAGTGTTTCAAAACTGCTCTATCAAAAGAAAAGTTTTACTCTGTGGGTTGAACGCACACATCGCAAAGCAGATTCTGAGAATTATTCTGTCTAGTTTTTATAGGAAGATGTTTCTTTTTCTGCCATAGGCTCAATGCGCTATAAATATCCCCTTGGAAGTCCTACAAAAACAGTGTTTCAAAACTGCTCTGTGAAAAGGGAGGTTTCACTCTTTGAATTGAATGCACACATCACAAAGGAGTTTCTGAAAATTCTTCAATCTAGAGTTACATGAAGAAATCCCGTTTCCAAAGAAGGCCTCAAATAGGTCCAAATATCCACTTGCAGCTACTACAAGAAGGGTGTTTCAGAAACGCTCTATCAAAAGAAACGTTAAACTCTGTGAGTTGAACGCACACGTCACTAAGCACTTTCTGAGAACGATTCTATCTACTTTTTACATGAAGATGTTTCCTTTTCTAGCAGAGACTTCAAAGTGCTCTAAATATCCACTTGGGAATTCTACAAAAACGGTGTCTCAAAACTGCTCTATCAAACGGAATGTTCCATTCTGTGAGTCGAATGCACACATCCGAAGAAGTTACTGAGAATTCTTCTCTGTAGGTTTAGATGAAGAAATCCCGTTTCCAACGAAGGCCTCTAGGAGGTCCAATTATCCACTTGCAGATTCTACAGAAAGAGTGTTTCAAAACTGCTCTATCAAGAGAAATGGTCCACCGTGTGTGTGGAATGCAGCCATCACACATTAGTTTCTGAGATTGCTTCTGTCTTGGTTTTATGGGGAGATATTTCCATTTCTAGCATAGGCTTCAAGGCGCTCTAAATATCCGCTTGGAAATACTACAAAAACAGTGTTTCAAAACTGCTGTATCCAAAGGAAGGTGCCACTCGCTGAGTTGAATGCACACATCACAAGGAAGTTTCTGAGAATTCTTCTGTCTAGATTCATACGAAGAAATCCCGTTTCCAACGAAGGCCTCAAAGAAGTCCAAATATCCCATTGCAAATTCTACAAAAGGAGTGTTTCCCAACTGCTCTATCAAGAGGAATGTTGCACTCTGTGACTTGCATGCAAACATCATATAGCAGTGTTTGAGAATTCTTCTGTCTAGAGTAACATGAAGAAATCCCGTTTCCAACGAAGGCCTCAAGGCGGTCCAATTATCCACTTGCAGATTCTACAGAAAGAGTGTTTCAAAACTGCTCTATCAAGAGAAATGTTCCACCGTGTGTGTGGAATGCAGCCATCACACAGTAGTTTCTGAGATTGCTTCCGTCTAGGTTTTATGGGAAGATATTTCCTTTTCTACCATAGGCCTCAAGGCGCTCTAATATCCGCTTGGAAATACTACAACCACAGCGTTTCAAACTGCTCTATCCAAAGGAAGGTTCCACTCTGTGACTTGAATGCACACAACCAAAGAAGTTTCGGAGAATTCTTCTGTCTGGATTTATACGAAGAAATCCCGTTTCCAACGAAGACCCAAAGGAGTTCCAAATATCCACTTGCAGATCCTTCAGAAAGAGGGTTTCAAAACTGCTCTATCAAGAGAAATGTTCAACTCTGTGAGTTGAATGCAGACATCACAAAGTCGTTTCTGAGATGGGTTCTGTCTAGGTTTTATGGGAAGATATTTCCTTTTCTACCATACGCTTCAAGGCGTTCCAAATATCCGCTTGGAAATACTACAAAAACAGTGTTTCAAAACTGCTCTATCAAAAGGAAGGATCCACACTGTGAGTTGAATTCACACATCACAAAGAAGTCTCTGAGAATTCTTCTGTCTGGGTTTATAGGAAGCAATCCCGTTTCCAACGAAGGCCTCAAAGAGGTCCAAATATCCACTTGCAGATTCTACAGAAACAATGTTTCCAAACTGCTCGGTCAAGAGGAATGTTGCACTCGGTGAGTTGAATGCACACATCACAAAGTAGTTTCTGAGATTGCTTCTGTCTACCTTTTATGGAAAGAATTCCCTTTTCTACCATAGGCCTGAAGCGCTCTCAATGTACCCTTGCAAATTCTACAAAAAGAGTGTTTCCAAATTGCTCTATCAAGAGAAATCTTTATCTCGGTGAGTTGAAAGCACACATCACAAAGAAGACTCTGAGAATTCTTCTGTCTGGGTTTATAAGATGAAAACCCGTTTCCAACGAAGGCCTCAAGGAGGTCCAAATACAAACAAGCTGATCCTACAGAAAGAGTGTTTCCAAACTGCTCTATCAAGAGGAATGTTCCACTCGGTGAGTTGAATGCAGACATCACAAAGGAGTTTCTGAGATTGCTTCTGTCTAGCTTTTATGGAAAGATATTTCCTTTTCTACCATAGGCCTCAAAGCGCTCTTAGTATACACTTCCAAATTCTACAAAGAGAGTGTTACTAAACCGCTCTCTCAAAGGAAATGTTAAACTCTGTGAGTTGAACACAGACATCACAAAGCAGTTTCTGAGAACACTTCTGTCTGCCTTTTATGTGAAGACATTCCCTTTTCCAAAGAATGCCTCCAAGGGCTCAAAATATCCACTTGTAGACTTTACAAAGAGAGTGTTTCAAAACTTCTCTACCAAAAGAAAGGTTAAAGACGGTGAGTTCAACGCACACATCACAAAGTTGTTTCTGAGAATGATTCTATCTATGTTTTCCATGAAGATGTTTCCTTTTCTATCATAGGCTTCAAAGTGGTCTAAATATCCACTTGGAAATCCTACAAGAACAGGGTTTCAAAACTTCTCTATCAAACGGAACACTCCACTCTGTGAGATGAACGCACACATCACAATGAGGTTTCTGAAAATTCTTCTGTCTAGGGTTATAGGAAGAAATCCCGTTTCCAACGAAGGCCTCAAAGAGGTCCAAATATCCACTTGCAGTTTCTACAAAAAGAGTGTTTCAACACTGCTCTATAAAGAGGAAAGTTCCACTCTGTGAGTTGAATGTACACATCACAAAGTAGTTTCTGAGATTGCTTCTGTCTAGGTTTTAGGTGAAGTTATTTCCTTTTCTACTGTGGGCTTCAATGCGCTCTAAATATACACATGCAAATACTACAAAAAGAGTGTTTCAAAACTGCTCTATCAAAAGAAAAGTTTTACTCTGTGGGTTGAACGCACACATCGCAAAGCAGATTCTGAGAATTATTCTGTCTAGTTTTTATAGGAAGATGTTTCTTTTTCTGCCATAGGCTCAATGCGCTATAAATATCCCCTTGGAAGTCCTACAAAAACAGTGTTTCAAAACTGCTCTGTGAAAAGGGAGGTTTCACTCTTTGAATTGAATGCACACATCACAAAGGAGTTTCTGAAAATTCTTCAATCTAGAGTTACATGAAGAAATCCCGTTTCCAAAGAAGGCCTCAAATAGGTCCAAATATCCACTTGCAGCTACTACAAGAAGGGTGTTTCAGAAACGCTCTATCAAAAGAAACGTTAAACTCTGTGAGTTGAACGCACACGTCACTAAGCACTTTCTGAGAACGATTCTATCTACTTTTTACATGAAGATGTTTCCTTTTCTAGCAGAGACTTCAAAGTGCTCTAAATATCCACTTGGGAATTCTACAAAAACGGTGTCTCAAAACTGCTCTATCAAAGGGAATGTTCCATTCTGTGAGTTGAATGCACACATCCGAAGAAGTTACTGAGAATTCTTCTCTGTAGGTTTAGATGAAGAAATCCCGTTTCCAACGAAGGCCTCTAGGAGGTCCAATTATCCACTTGCAGATTCTACAGAAAGAGTGTTTCAAAACTGCTCTATCAAGAGAAATGGTCCACCGTGTGTGTGGAATGCAGCCATCACACATTAGTTTCTGAGATTGCTTCTGTCTTGGTTTTATGGGGAGATATTTCCATTTCTAGCATAGGCTTCAAGGCGCTCTAAATATCCGCTTGGAAATACTACAAAAACAGTGTTTCAAAACTGCTGTATCCAAAGGAAGGTGCCACTCGCTGAGTTGAATGCACACATCACAAGGAAGTTTCTGAGAATTCTTCTGTCTAGATTCATACGAAGAAATCCCGTTTCCAACGAAGGCCTCAAAGAAGTCCAAATATCCCATTGCAAATTCTACAAAAGGAGTGTTTCCCAACTGCTCTATCAAGAGGAATGTTGCACTCTCTGACTTGCATGCAAACATCATATAGCAGTGTTTGAGAATTCTTCTGTCTAGAGTAACATGAAGAAATCCCGTTTCCAACGAAGGCCTCAAGGCCGTCCAATTATCCACTTGCAGATTCTACAGAAAGAGTGTTTCAAAACTGCTCTATGAAGAGAAATGTTCCACCGTGCGTGTGGAATGCAGTCATCACACAGTAGTTTCTGAGATTGCTTCCGTCTAGGTTTTATGGGAAGATATTTCCTTTTCTACCATAGGCTTCAAGGCGCTCTAATATCCGCTTGGAAATACTACAACCACAGCGTTTCAAACTGCTCTATCCAAAGGAAGGTTCCACTCTGTGACTTGAATGCACACAACCAAAGAAGTTTCGGAGAATTCTTCTGTCTGGATTTATACGAAGAAATCCCGTTTCCAACGAAGACCCAAAGGAGTTCCAAATATCCACTTGCAGATCCTTCAGAAAGAGGGTTTCAAAACTGCTCTATCAAGAGAAATGTTCAACTCTGTGAGTTGAATGCAGACATCACAAAGTCGTTTCTGAGATGGGTTCTGTCTAGGTTTTATGGGAAGATATTTCCTTTTCTACCATACGCTTCAAGGCGTTCCAAATATCCGCTTGGAAATACTACAAAAACAGTGTTTCAAAACTGCTCTATCAAAAGGAAGGATCCACACTGTGAGTTGAATTCACACATCACAAAGAAATCTCTGAGAATTCTTCTGTCTGGGTTTATAGGAAGAAATCCCGTTTCCAATGAAGGCCTCAAAGCGGTCCATATATCCACTTGCAGATTCTACAGAAACAATGTTTCCAAACTGCTCTATCAAGAGGAATGTTGCACTCGGTGAGTTGAATGCACACATCACAAAGTAGTTTCTGAGATTGCTTCTGTCTACCTTTTATGGAAAGATATTCCCTTTTCTACCATAGGCCTGAAAGCGCTCTCAATGTACCCTTGCAAATTCTACAAAAAGAGTGTTTCCAAATTGCTCTATCAAGAGAAATCTTTATCTCGGTGAGTTGAAAGCACACATCACAAAGAAGACTCTGAGAATTCTTCTGTCTGGGTTTATAAGATGAAAACCCGTTTCCAACGAAGGCCTCAAGGAGGTCCAAATACAAACAAGCTGATTCTACAGAAAGAGTGTTTCCAAACTGCTCTATCAAGAGGAATGTTCCACTCGGTGAGTTGAATGCAGACATCACAAAGGAGTTTCTGAGATTGCTTCTGTCTAGCTTTTATGGAAAGATATTTCCTTTTCTACCATAGGCCTCAAAGCGCTCTTAGTATACACTTCCAAATTCTACAAAGAGAGTGTTACTAAACCGCTCTCTCAAAGGAAATGTTAAACTCTGTGAGTTGAACACAGACATCACAAAGCAGTTTCTGAGAACACTTCTGTCTGCCTTTTATGTGAAGACATTCCCTTTTCCAAAGAATGCCTCCAAGGGCTCAAAATATCCACTTGTAGACTTTACAAAGAGAGTGTTTCAAAACTTCTCTACCAAAAGAAAGGTTAAAGACGGTGAGTTCAACGCACACATCACAAAGTTGTTTCTGAGAATGATTCTATCTATGTTTTCCATGAAGATGTTTCCTTTTCTATCATAGGCTTCAAAGTGGTCTAAATATCCACTTGGAAATCCTACAAGAACAGGGTTTCAAAACTTCTCTATCAAACGGAAGACTCCACTCTGTGAGATGAACGCACACATCACAATGAGGTTTCTGAAAATTCTTCTGTCTAGGGTTATAGGAAGAAATCCCGTTTCCAACGAAGGCCTCAAAGAGGTCCAAATATCCACTTGCAGTTTCTACAAAAAGAGTGTTTCAACACTGCTCTATAAAGAGAAAAGTTCCACTCTGTGAGTTGAATGTACACATCACAAAGTAGTTTCTGAGATTGCTTCTGTCTAGGTTTTAGGTGAAGTTATTTCCTTTTCTACTGTGGGCTTCAATGCGCTCTAAATATACACATGCAAATACTACAAAAAGAGTGTTTCAAAACTGCTCTATCAAAAGAAAAGTTTTACTCTGTGAGTTGAACGCACACATCGCAAAGCAGATTCTGAGAATTATTCTGTCTAGTTTTTATAGGAAGATGTTTCTTTTTCTGCCATAGGCTCAATGCGCTATAAATATCCCCTTGGAAATCCTACAAAAACAGTGTTTCAAAACTGCTCTGTGAAAAGGGAGGTTTCACTCTTTGAATTGAATGCACACATCACAAAGGAGTTTCTGAAAATTCTTCAATCTAGAGTTACATGAAGAAATCCCGTTTCCAAAGAAGGCCTCAAATAGGTCCAAATATCCACTTGCAGCTACTACAAGAAGGGTGTTTCAGAAACGCTCTATCAAAAGAAACGTTAAACTCTGTGAGTTGAACGCACACGTCACTAAGCACTTTCTGAGAACGATTCTATCTACTTTTTACATGAAGATGTTTCCTTTTCTAGCAGAGACTTCAAAGTGCTCTAAATATCCACTTGGGAATTCTACAAAAACGGTGTCTCAAAACTGCTCTATCAAACGGAATGTTCCATTCTGTGAGTCGAATGCACACATCCGAAGAAGTTACTGAGAATTCTTCTCTGTAGGTTTAGATGAAGAAATCCCGTTTCCAACGAAGGCCTCTAGGAGGTCCAATTATCCACTTGCAGATTCTACAGAAAGAGTGTTTCAAAACTGCTCTATCAAGAGAAATGTTCCACCGTGTGTGTGGAATGCAGCCATCACACAGTAGTTTCTGAGATTGCTTCCGTCTAGGTTTTATGGGAAGATATTTCCTTTTCTACCATAGGCTTCAAGGCGCTCTAATATCCGCTTGGAAATACTACAACCACAGCGTTTCAAACTGCTCTATCCAAAGGAAGGTTCCACTCTGTGACTTGAATGCACACAACCAAAGAAGTTTCGGAGAATTCTTCTGTCTGGATTTATACGAAGAAATCCCGTTTCCAACGAAGACCCAAAGGAGTTCCAAATATCCACTTGCAGATCCTTCAGAAAGAGGGTTTCAAAACTGCTCTATCAAGAGAAATGTTCAACTCTGTGAGTTGAATGCAGACATCACAAAGTCGTTTCTGAGATGGGTTCTGTCTAGGTTTTATGGGAAGATATTTCCTTTTCTACCATACGCTTCAAGGCGTTCCAAATATCCGCTTGGAAATACTACAAAAACAGTGTTTCAAAACTGCTCTATCAAAAGGAAGGATCCACACTGTGAGTTGAATTCACACATCACAAAGAAATCTCTGAGAATTCTTCTGTCTGGGTTTATAGGAAGAAATCCCGTTTCCAACGAAGGCCTCAAAGCGGTCCATATATCCACTTGCAGATTCTACAGAAACAATGTTTCCAAACTGCTCTATCAAGAGGAATGTTGCACTCGGTGAGTTGAATGCACACATCACAAAGTAGTTTCTGAGATTGCTTCTGTCTACCTTTTATGGAAAGATATTCCCTTTTCTACCATAGGCCTGAAAGCGCTCTCAATGTACCCTTGCAAATTCTACAAAAAGAGTGTTTCCAAATTGCTCTATCAAGAGAAATCTTTATCTCGGTGAGTTGAAAGCACACATCACAAAGAAGACTCTGAGAATTCTTCTGTCTGGGTTTATAAGATGAAAACCCGTTTCCAACGAAGGCCTCAAGGAGGTCCAAATACAAACAAGCTGATTCTACAGAAAGAGTGTTTCCAAACTGCTCTATCAAGAGGAATGTTCCACTCGGTGAGTTGAATGCAGACATCACAAAGGAGTTTCTGAGATTGCTTCTGTCTAGCTTTTATGGAAAGATATTTCCTTTTCTACCATAGGCCTCAAAGCGCTCTTAGTATACACTTCCAAATTCTACAAAGAGAGTGTTACTAAACCGCTCTCTCAAAGGAAATGTTAAACTCTGTGAGTTGAACACAGACATCACAAAGCAGTTTCTGAGAACACTTCTGTCTGCCTTTTATGTGAAGACATTCCCTTTTCCAAAGAATGCCTCCAAGGGCTCAAAATATCCACTCGTAGACTTTACAAAGAGAGTGTTTCAAAACTTCTCTACCAAAAGAAAGGTTAAAGACGGTGAGTTCAACGCACACATCACAAAGTTGTTTCTGAGAATGATTCTATCTATGTTTTCCATGAAGATGTTTCCTTTTCTATCATAGGCTTCAAAGTGGTCTAAATATCCACTTGGAAATCCTACAAGAACAGGGTTTCAAAACTTCTCTATCAAACGGAACACTCCACTCTGTGAGATGAACGCACACATCACAATGAGGTTTCTGAAAATTCTTCTGTCTAGGGTTATAGGAAGAAATCCCGTTTCCAACGAAGGCCTCAAAGAGGTCCAAATATCCACTTGCAGTTTCTACAAAAAGAGTGTTTCAACACTGCTCTATAAAGAGGAAAGTTCCACTCTGTGAGTTGAATGTACACATCACAAAGTAGTTTCTGAGATTGCTTCTGTCTAGGTTTTAGGTGAAGTTATTTCCTTTTCTACTGTGGGCTTCAATGCGCTCTAAATATACACATGCAAATACTACAAAAAGAGTGTTTCAAAACTGCTCTATCAAAAGAAAAGTTTTACTCTGTGGGTTGAACGCACACATCGCAAAGCAGATTCTGAGAATTATTCTGTCTAGTTTTTATAGGAAGATGTTTCTTTTTCTGCCGTAGGCTCAATGCGCTATAAATATCCCCTTGGAAATCCTACAAAAACAGTGTTTCAAAACTGCTCTGTGAAAAGGGAGGTTTCACTCTTTGAATTGAATGCACACATCACAAAGGAGTTTCTGAATATTCTTCAAACTAGAGTTACATGAAGAAATCCCGTTTCCAAAGAAGGCCTCAAATAGGTCCAAATATCCACTTGCAGCTACTACAAGAAGGGTGTTTCAGAAACGCTCTATCAAAAGAAACGTTAAACTCTGTGAGTTGAACGCACACGTCACTAAGCACTTTCTGAGAACGATTCTATCTACTTTTTACATGAAGATGTTTCCTTTTCTAGCAGAGACATCAAAGTGCTCTAAATATCCACTTGGGAATTCTACAAAAACGGTGTCTCAAAACTGCTCTATCAAACAGAATGTTCCATTCTGTGAGTCGAATGCACACATCCGAAGAAGTTACTGAGAATTCTTCTCTGTAGGTTTAGATGAAGAAATCCCGTTTCCAACGAAGGCCTCTAGGAGGTCCAATTATCCACTTGCAGATTCTACAGAAAGAGTGTTTCAAAACTGCTCTATCAAGAGAAATGGTCCACCGTGTGTGTGGAATGCAGCCATCACACATTAGTTTCTGAGATTGCTTCTGTCTTGGTTTTATGGGGAGATATTTCCATTTCTAGCATAGGCTTCAAGGCGCTCTAAATATCCGCTTGGAAATACTACAAAAACTGTGTTTCAAAACTGCAGTATCCAAAGGAAGGTGCCGCTCGCTGAGTTGAATGCACACATCACAAGGAAGTTTCCTGAGAATTCTTCTGTCTAGATTCATACGAAGAAACCCCGTTTCCAACGAAGGCCTCAAAGAAGTCCAAATATCCCATTGCACATTCTACAAAAGGAGTGTTTCCCAACTGCTCTATGAAGAGGAATGTTGCACTCTGTGACTTGAATGCAAACATCACATAGTAGTGTTTGAGAATTCTTCTATCTAGAGTAACATGAAGAAATCCCGTTTCCAACGAAGGCCTCAAGGCGGTCCAATTATCCACTTGCAGATTCTACAGAAAGAGTGTTTCAAAACTGCTCTATCAAGAGAAATGTTCCACCGTGTGTGTGGAATGCAGCCATCACACAGTAGTTTCTGAGATTGCTTCCGTCTAGGTTTTATGGGAAGATATTTCCTTTTCTACCATAGGCTTCAAGGCGCTCTAATATCCGCTTGGAAATACTACAACCACAGCGTTTCAAACTGCTCTATCCAAAGGAAGGTTCCACTCTGTGAATTGAATGCACACAACCAAAGAAGTTTCGGAGAATTCTTCTGTCTAGATTTGTACGAAGAAATCCCGTTTCCAACGAAGACCCAAAGGAGTTCCAAATATCCACTTGCAGATCCTTCAGAAAGAGGGTTTCAAAACTGCTCTATCAAGAGAAATGTTCAACTCTGTGAGTTGAATGCAGACATCACAAATTCGTTTCTGAGATTGGTTCTGTCTAGGTTTTATGGGAAGATATTTCCTTTTCTACCATACGCTTCAAGGCGTTCCAAATATCCGCTTGGAAATACTACAAAAACAGTGTTTCAAAACTGCTCTATCAAAAGGAAGGATCCACACTGTGAGTTGAATTCACACATCACAAAGAAATCTCTGAGAATTCTTCTGTCTGGGTTTATAGGAAGAAATCCCGTTTCCAACGAAGGCCTCAAAGCGGTCCATATATCCACTTGCAGATTCTACAGAAACAATGTTTCCAAACTGCTCTATCAAGAGGAATGTTGCACTCGGTGAGTTGAATGCACACATCACAAAGTAGTTTCTGAGATTGCTTCTGTCTACCTTTTATGGAAAGATATTCCCTTTTCTACCATAGGCCTGAAAGCGCTCTCAATGTACCCTTGCAAATTCTACAAAAAGAGTGTTTCCAAATTGCTCTATCAAGAGAAATCTTTATCTCGGTGAGTTGAAAGCACACATCACAAAGAAGACTCTGAGAATTCTTCTGTCTGCGTTTATAAGATGAAAACCCGTTTCCAACGAAGGCCTCAAGGAGGTCCAAATACAAACAAGCTGATTCTACAGAAAGAGTGTTTCCAAACTGCTCTATCAAGAGGAATGTTCCACTCGGTGAGTTGAATGCAGACATCACAAAGGAGTTTCTGAGATTGCTTCTGTCTAGCTTTTATGGAAAGATAATTCCTTTTCTACCATAGGCCTCAAAGCGCTCTTAGTATACACTTCCAAATTCTACAAAGAGAGTGTTACTAAACCGCTCTCTCAAAGGAAATGTTAAACTCTGTGAGTTGAACACAGACATCACAAAGCAGTTTCTGAGAACACTTCTGTCTGCCTTTTATGTGAAGACATTCCCTTTTCCAAAGAATGCCTCCAAGGGCTCAAAATATCCACTTGTAGACTTTACAAAGAGAGTGTTTCAAAACTTCTCTACCAAAAGAAAGGTTAAAGACGGTGAGTTCAACGCACACATCACAAAGTTGTTTCTGAGAATGATTCTATCTATGTTTTCCATGAAGATGTTTCCTTTTCTATCATAGGCTTCAAAGTGGTCTAAATATCCACTTGGAAATCCTACAAGAACAGGGTTTCAAAACTTCTCTATCAAACGGAAGACTCCACTCTGTGAGATGAACGCACACATCACAATGAGGTTTCTGAAAATTCTTCTGTCTAGGGTTATAGGAAGAAATCCCGTTTCCAACGAAGGCCTCAAAGAGGTCCAAATATCCACTTGCAGTTTCTACAAAAAGAGTGTTTCAACACTGCTCTATAAAGAGGAAAGTTCCACTCTGTGAGTGGAATGTACACATCACAAAGTAGTTTCTGAGATTGCTTCTGTCTAGGTTTTAGGTGAAGTTATTTCCTTTTCTACTGTGGGCTTCAATGCGCTCTAAATATACACATGCAAATACTACAAAAAGAGTGTTTCAAAACTGCTCTATCAAAAGAAAAGTTTTACTCTGTGGGTTGAACGCACATATCGCAAAGCAGATTCTGAGAATTATTCTGTCTAGTTTTTATAGGAAGATGTTTCTTTTTCTGCCATAGGATCAATGCGCTATAAATATCCCCTTGGAAATCCTACAAAAACAGTGTTTCAAAACTGCTCTGTGAAAAGGGAGGTTTCACTCTTTGAATTGAATGCACACATCACAAAGGAGTTTCTGAAATTTCTTCAATCTAGAGATACATGAAGAAATCCCGTTTCCAAAGAAGGCCTCAAATAGGTCCAAATATCCACTTGCAGCTACTACAAGAAGGGTGTTTCAGAAACGTTCTATCAAAAGAAACGTTAAACTCTGTGAGTTGAACACACACGTCACTAAGCACTTTCTGAGAACGAGTCTATCTACTTTTTACATGAAGATGTTTCCTTTTCTAGCAGAGACTTCAAAGTGCTCTAAATATCCACTTGGGAATTCTACAAAAACGGTGTCTCAAAACTGCTCTATCAAACGGAATGTTCCATTCTGTGAGTCGAATGCACACATCCGAAGAAGTTACTGAGAATTCTTCTCTGTAGGTTTAGATGAAGAAATCCCGTTTCCAACGAAGGGCCTCTAGGAGGTCCAATTATCCACTTGCAGATTCTACAGAAAGAGTGTTTCAAAACTGCTCTATCAAGAGAAATGGTCCACCGTGTGTGTGGAATGCAGCCATCACACATTAGTTTCTGAGATTGTTTCTGTCTTGGTTTTATGGGGAGATATTTCCATTTCTAGCATAGGCTTCAAGGCGCTCTAAATATCCGCTTGGAAATACTACAAAAACAGTGTTTCAAAACTGCTGTATCCAAAGGAAGGTGCCACTCGCTGAGTTGAATGCACACATCACAAGGAAGTTTCTGAGAATTCTTCTGTCTAGATTCATACGAAGAAATCCCGTTTCCAACGAAGGCCTCAAAGAAGTCCAAATATCCCATTGCAAATTCTACATAAGGAGTGTTTCCCAACTGCTCTATCAAGAGGAATGTTGCACTCTGTGACTTGAATGCAAACATCACATAGCAGTGTTTGAGAATTGTTCTGTCTAGAGTAACATGAAGAAATCCCGTTTCCAACGAAGGTCTCAAGGCGGTCCAATTATCCACTTGCAGATTCTACAGAAAGAGTGTTTCAAAACTGCTCTATCAAGAGAAATGTTCCACCGTGTGTGTGGAATGCAGCCATCACAAAGTAGTTTCTGAGATTGCTTCCGTCTAGGTTTTATGGGAAGATATTTCCTTTTCTACCATAGGCTTCAAGGCGCTCTAATATCCGCTTGGAAATACTACAACCACAGCGTTTCAAACTGCTCTATCCAAAGGAAGGTTCCACTCTGTGACTTGAATGCACACAACCAAAGAAGTTTCGGAGAATTCTTCTGTCTGGATTTATACGAAGAAATCCCGTTTACAACGAAGACCCAACGGAGTTCCAAATATCCACTTGCAGATCCTTCAGAAAGAGGGTTTCAAAACTGCTCTATCAGGAGAAATGTTCAACTCTGTGAGTTGAATGCAGACATCACAAAGTCGTTTCTGAGATTGGTTCTGTCTAGGTTTTATGGGAAGATATTTCCTTTTCTACCATACGCTTCAAGGCGTTCCAAATATCCGCTTGGAAATACTACAAAAACGGTGTTTCAAAACTGCTCTATCAAAAGGAAGGATCCACACTGTGAGTTGAATTCACACATCACAAAGAAATCTCTGAGAATTCTTCTGTCTGGGTTTATAGGAAGAAATCCCGTTTCCAACGAAGGCCTCAAAGAGGTCCAAATATCCACTTGCAGATTCTACAGAAACAATGTTTCCAAACTGCTCGGTCAAGAGGAATGTTGCACTCGGTGAGTTGAATGCACACATCACAAAGTAGTTTCTGAGATTGCTTCTGTCTACCTTTTATGGAAAGATATTCCCTTTTCTACCATAGGCCTGAAAGCGCTCTCAATGTACCCTTGCAAATTCTACAAAAAGAGTGTTTCCAAATTGCTCTATCAAGAGAAATCTTTATCTCGGTGAGTTGAAAGCACACATCACAAAGAAGACTCTGAGAATTCTTCTGTCTGGGTTTATAAGATGAAAACCCGTTTCCAACGAAGGCCTCAAGGAGGTCCAAATACAAACAAGCTGATTCTACAGAAAGAGTGTTTCCAAACTGCTCTATCAAGAGGAATGTTCCACTCGGTGAGTTGAATGCAGACATCACAAAGGAGTTTCTGAGATTGCTTCTGTCTAGCTTTTATGGAAAGATATTTCCTTTTCTACCATAGGCCTCAAAGCGCTCTTAGTATACACTTCCAAATTCTACAAAGAGAGTGTTACTAAACCGCTCTCTCAAAGGAAATGTTAAACTCTGTGAGTTGAACACAGACATCACAAAGCAGTTTCTGAGAACACTTCTGTCTGCCTTTTATGTGAAGACATTCCCTTTTCCAAAGAATGCCTCCAAGGGCTCAAAATATCCACTTGTAGACTTTACAAAGAGAGTGTTTCAAAACTTCTCTACCAAAAGAAAGGTTAAAGACGGTGAGTTCAACGCACACATCACAAAGTTGTTTCTGAGAATGATTCTATCTATGTTTTCCATGAAGATGTTTCCTTTTCTATCATAGGCTTCAAAGTGGGCTAAATATCCACTTGGAAATCCTACAAGAACAGGGTTTCAAAACTTCTCTATCAAACGGAAGACTCCACTCTGTGAGATGAACGCACACATCACAATGAGGTTTCTGAAAATTCTTCTGTCTAGGGTTATAGGAAGAAATCCCGTTTCCAACGAAGGCCTCAAAGAGGTCCAAATATCCACTTGCCGTTTCTACAAAAAGAGTGTTTCAACACTGCTCTATAAAGAGGAAAGTTCCACTCTGTGAGTTGAATGTACACATCACAAAGTAGTTTCTTTGATTGCTTCTGTCTAGGTTTTAGGTGAAGTTATTTCCTTTTCTACTGTGGGCTTCAATGCGCCCTAAATATACACATGCAAATACTACAAAAAGAGTGTTTCAAAACTGCTCTATCAAAAGAAAAGTTTTACTCTGTGAGTTGAACGCACACATCGCAAAGCAGATTCTGATAATTATTCTGTCTAGTTTTTATAGGAAGATGTTTCTTTTTCTGCCATAGGCTCAATGCGCTATAAATATCCCCTTGGAAATCCTACAAAAACAGTGTTTCAAAACTGCTCTGTGAAAAGGGAGGTTTCACTCTTTGAATTGAATGCACACTTCACAAAGGAGTTTCTGAAAATTCTTCAATCTAGAGTTACATGAAGAAATCCCGTTTCCAAAGAAGGCCTCAAATAGGTCCAAATATCCACTTGCAGCTACTACAAGAAGGGTGTTTCAGAAACGCTCTATCAAAAGAAACGTTAAACTCTGTGAGTTGAACGCACACGTCACTAAGCACTTTCTGAGAACGATTCTATCTACTTTTTACATGAAGATGTTTCCTTTTCTAGCAGAGACTTCAAAGTGCTCTAAATATCCACTTGGGAATTCTACAAAAACGGTGTCTCAAAACTGCTCTATCAAAGGGAATGTTCCATTCTGTGAGTCGAATGCACACATCCGAAGAAGTTACTGAGAATTCTTCTCTGTAGGTTTAGATGAAGAAATCCCGTTTCCAACGAAGGCCTCTAGGAGGTCCAATTATCCACTTGCAGATTCTACAGAAAGAGTGTTTCAAAACTGCTCTATCAAGAGAAATGGTCCACCGTGTGTGTGGAATGCAGCCATCACACATTAGTTTCTGAGATTGCTTCTGTCTTGGTTTTATGGGGAGATATTTCCATTTCTAGCATAGGCTTCAAGGCGCTCTAAATATCCGCTTGGAAATACTACAAAAACAGTGTTTCAAAACTGCTGTATCCAAAGGAAGGTGCCACTCGCTGAGTTGAATGCACACATCACAAGGAAGTTTCTGAGAATTCTTCTGTCTAGATTCATACGAAGAAATCCCGTTTCCAACGAAGGCCTCAAAGAAGTCCAAATATCCCATTGCAAATTCTACAAAAGGAGTGTTTCCCAACTGCTCTATCAAGAGGAATGTTGCACTCTGTGACTTGAATGCAAACATCACATAGCAGTGTTTGAGAATTCTTCTGTCTAGAGTAACATGAAGAAATCCCGTTTCCAACGAAGGCCTCAAGGCGGTCCAATTATCCACTTGCAGATTCTACAGAAAGAGTGTTTCAAAACTGCTCTATCAAGAGAAATGTTCCACCGTGTGTGTGGAATGCAGCCATCACACAGTAGTTTCTGAGATTGCTTCCGTCTAGGTTTTATGGGAAGATATTTCCTTTTCTACCATAGGCTTCAAGGCGCTCTAATATCCGCTTGGAAATACTACAACCACAGCGTTTCAAACTGCTCTATCCAAAGGAAGGTTCCACTCTGTGACTTGAATGCACACAACCAAAGAAGTTTCGGAGAATTCTTCTGTCTGGATTTATACGAAGAAATCCCGTTTCCAACGAAGACCCAAAGGAGTTCCAAATATCCACTTGCAGATCCTTCAGAAAGAGGGTTTCAAAACTGCTCTATCAAGAGAAATATTCAACTCTGTGAGTTGAATGCAGACATCACAAAGTCGTTTCTGAGATGGGTTCTGTCTAGGTTTTATGGGAAGATATTTCCTTTTCTACCATACGCTTCAAGGCGTTCCAAATATCCGCTTGGAAATACTACAAAAACAGTGTTTCAAAACTGCTCTATCAAAAGGAAGGATCCACACTGTGAGTTGAATTCACACATCACAAAGAAGTCTCTGAGAATTCTTCTGTCTGGGTTTATAGGAAGAAATCCCGTTTCCAACGAAGGCCTCAAAGCGGTCCATATATCCACTTGCAGATTCTACAGAAACAATGTTTCCAAACTGCTCTATCAAGAGGAATGTTGCACTCGGTGAGTTGAATGCACACATCACAAAGTAGTTTCTGAGATTGCTTCTGTCTACCTTTTCTACCATAGGCCTGAAAGCGCTCTCAATGTACCCTTGCAAATTCTACAAAAAGAGTGTTTCCAAATTGCTCTATCAAGAGAAATCTTTATCTCGGTGAGTTGAAAGCACACATCACAAAGAAGACTCTGAGAATTCTTCTGTCTGGGTTTATAAGATGAAAACCCGTTTCCAACGAAGGCCTCAAGGAGGTCCAAATACAAACAAGCTGATTCTACAGAAAGAGTGTTTCCAAACTGCTCTATCAAGAGGAATGTTCCACTCGGTGAGTTGAATGCAGACATCACAAAGGAGTTTCTGAGATTGCTTCTGTCTAGCTTTTATGGAAAGATATTTCCTTTTCTACCATAGGCCTCAAAGCGCTCTTAGTATACACTTCCAAATTCTACAAAGAGAGTGTTACTAAACCGCTCTCTCAAAGGAAATGTTAAACTCTGTGAGTTGAACACAGACATCACAAAGCAGTTTCTGAGAACACTTCTGTCTGCCTTTTATGTGAAGACATTCCCTTTTCCAAAGAATGCCTCCAAGGGCTCAAAATATCCACTTGTAGACTTTACAAAGAGAGTGTTTCAAAACTTCTCTACCAAAAGAAAGGTTAAAGACGGTGAGTTCAACGCACACATCACAAAGTTGTTTCTGAGAATGATTCTATCTATGTTTTCCATGAAGATGTTTCCTTTTCTATCATAGGCTTCAAAGTGGTCTAAATATCCACTTGGAAATCCTACAAGAACAGGGTTTCAAAACTTCTCTATCAAACGGAACACTCCACTCTGTGAGATGAACGCACACATCACAATGAGGTTTCTGAAAATTCTTCTGTCTAGGGTTATAGGAAGAAATCCCGTTTCCAACGAAGGCCTCAAAGAGGTCCAAATATCCACTTGCAGTTTCTACAAAAAGAGTGTTTCAACACTGCTCTATAAAGAGGAAAGTTCCGCTCTGTGAGTTGAATGTACACATCACAAAGTAGTTTCTGAGATTGCTTCTGTCTAGGTTTTAGGTGAAGTTATTTCCTTTTCTACTGTGGGCTTCAATGCGCTCTAAATATACACATGCAAATACTACAAAAAGAGTGTTTCAAAACTGCTCTATCAAAAGAAAAGTTTTACTCTGTGGGTTGAACGCACACATCGCAAAGCAGATTCTGAGAATTATTCTGTCTAGTTTTTATAGGAAGATGTTTCTTTTTCTGCCATAGGCTCAATGCGCTATAAATATCCCCTTGGAAGTCCTACAAAAACAGTGTTTCAAAACTGCTCTGTGAAAAGGGAGGTTTCACTCTTTGAATTGAATGCACACATCACAAAGGAGTTTCTGAAAATTCTTCAATCTAGAGTTACATGAAGAAATCCCGTTTCCAAAGAAGGCCTCAAATAGGTCCAAATATCCACTTGCAGCTACTACAAGAAGGGTGTTTCAGAAACGCTCTATCAAAAGAAACGTTAAACTCTGTGAGTTGAACGCACACGTCACTAAGCACTTTCTGAGAACGATTCTATCTACTTTTTACATGAAGATGTTTCCTTTTCTAGCAGAGACTTCAAAGTGCTCTAAATATCCACTTGGGAATTCTACAAAAACGGTGTCTCAAAACTGCTCTACCAAAGGGAATGTTCCATTCTGTGAGTCGAATGCACACATCCGAAGAAGTTACTGAGAATTCTTCTCTGTAGGTTTAGATGAAGAAATCCCGTTTCCAACGAAGGCCTCTAGGAGGTCCAATTATCCACTTGCAGATTCTACAGAAAGAGTGTTTCAAAACTGCTCTATCAAGAGAAATGGTCCACCGTGTGTGTGGAATGCAGCCATCACACATTAGTTTCTGAGATTGCTTCTGTCTTGGTTTTATGGGGAGATATTTCCATTTCTAGCATAGGCTTCAAGGCGCTCTAAATATCCGCTTGGAAATACTACAAAAACAGTGTTTCAAAACTGCTGTATCCAAAGGAAGGTGCCACTCGCTGAGTTGAATGCACACATCACAAGGAAGTTTCTGAGAATTCTTCTGTCTAGATTCATACGAAGAAATCCCGTTTCCAACGAAGGCCTCAAAGAAGTCCAAATATCCCATTGCAAATTCTACAAAAGGAGTGTTTCCCAACTGCTCTATCAAGAGGAATGTTGCACTCTGTGACTTGCATGCAAACATCACACAGCAGTGTTTGAGAATTCTTCTGTCTAGAGTAACATGAAGAAATCCCGTTTCCAACGAAGGCCTCAAGGCGGTCCAATTATCCACTTGCAGATTCTACAGAAAGAGTGTTTCAAAACTGCTCTATCAAGAGAAATGTTCCACCGTGTGTGTGGAATGCAGCCATCACACAGTAGTTTCTGAGATTGCTTCCGTCTAGGTTTTATGGGAAGATATTTCCTTTTCTACCATAGGCCTCAAGGCGCTCTAATATCCGCTTGGAAATACTACAACCACAGCGTTTCAAACTGCTCTATCCAAAGGAAGGTTCCACTCTGTGACTTGAATGCACACAACCAAAGAAGTTTCGGAGAATTCTTCTGTCTGGATTTATATGAAGAAATCCCGTTTCCAACGAAGACCCAAAGGAGTTCCAAATATCCACTTGCAGATCCTTCAGAAAGAGGGTTTCAAAACTGCTCTATCAAGAGAAATGTTCAACTCTGTGAGTTGAATGCAGACATCACAAAGTCGTTTCTGAGATGGGTTCTGTCTAGGTTTTATGGGAAGATATTTCCTTTTCTACCGTACGCTTCAAGGCGTTCCAAATATCCGCTTGGAAATACTACAAAAACAGTGTTTCAAAACTGCTCTATCAAAAGGAAGGATCCACACTGTGAGTTGAATTCACACATCACAAAGAAATCTCTGAGAATTCTTCTGTCTGGGTTTATAGGAAGAAATCCCGTTTCCAACGAAGGCCTCAAAGCGGTCCATATATCCACTTGCAGATTCTACAGAAACAATGTTTCCAAACTGCTCGGTCAAGAGGAATGTTGCACTCGGTGAGTTGAATGCACACATCACAAAGTAGTTTCTGAGATTGCTTCTGTCTACCTTTGATGGAAAGATATTCCCTTTTCTACCATAGGCCTGAAAGCGCTCTCAATGTACCCTTGCAAATTCTACAAAAAGAGTGTTTCCAAATTGCTCTATCAAGAGAAATCTTTATCTCGGTGAGTTGAAAGCACACATCACAAAGAAGACTCTGAGAATTCTTCTGTCTGGGTTTATAAGATGAAAACCCGTTTCCAACGAAGGCCTCAAGGAGGTCCAAATACAAACAAGCTGATTCTACAGAAAGAGTGTTTCCAAACTGCTCTATCAAGAGGAATGTTCCACTCGGTGAGTTGAATGCAGACATCACAAAGGAGTTTCTGAGATTGCTTCTGTCTAGCTTTTATGGAAAGATAGTTCCTTTTCTACCATAGGCCTCAAAGCGCTCTTAGTATACACTTCCAAATTCTACAAAGAGAGTGTTACTAAACCGCTCTCTCAAAGGAAATGTTAAACTCTGTGAGTTGAACACAGACATCACAAAGCAGTTTCTGAGAACACTTCTGTCTGCCTTTTATGTGAAGACATTCCCTTTTCCAAAGAATGCCTCCAAGGGCTCAAAATATCCACTTGTAGACTTTACAAAGAGAGTGTTTCAAAACTTCTCTACCAAAAGAAAGGTTAAAGACGGTGAGTTCAACGCACACATCACAAAGTTGTTTCTGAGAATGATTCTATCTATGTTTTCCATGAACATGTTTCCTTTTCTATCATAGGCTTCAAAGTGGTCTAAATATCCACTTGGAAATCCTACAAGAACAGGGTTTCAAAACTTCTCTATCAAACGGAAGACTCCACTCTGTGAGATGAACGCACACATCACAATGAGGTTTCTGAAAATTCTTCTGTCTAGGGTTATAGGAAGAAATCCCGTTTCCAACGAAGGCCTCAAAGAGGTCCAAATATCCACTTGCAGTTTCTACAAAAAGAGTGTTTCAACACTGCTCTATAAAGAGGAAAGTTCCACTCTGTGAGTTGAATGTACACATCACAAAGTAGTTTCTGAGATTGCTTCTGTCTAGGTTTTAGGTGAAGTTATTTCCTTTTCTACTGTGGGCTTCAATGCGCTCTAAATATACACATGCAAATACTACAAAAAGAGTGTTTCAAAGCTGCTCTATCAAAAGAAAAGTTTTACTCTGTGGGTTGAACGCACACATCGCAAAGCAGATTCTGAGAATTATTCTGTCTAGTTTTTATAGGAAGATGTTTCTTTTTCTGCCGTAGGCTCAATGTGCTATAAATATCCCCTTGGAAATCCCACAAAAACAGTGTTTCAAAACTGCTCTGTGAAAAGGGACGTTTCACTCTTTGAATTGAATGCACACATCACAAAGAGTTTCTGAAAATTCTTCAAACTAGAGTTACATGAAGAAATCCCGTTTCCAAAGAAGGCCTCAAATAGGTCCAAATAACCACTTGCAGCTACTACAAGCAGGGTGTTTCAGAAACGCTCTATCAAAAGAAACGTTAAACTCTGTGAGTTGAACGCACACGTCACTAAGCACTTTCTGAGAACGATTCTATCTACTGTTTACATGAAGATGTTTCCTTTTCTAGCAGAGACTTCAAAGTGCTCTAAATATCCACTTGGGAATTCTACAAAAACGGTGTCTCAAAACTGCTCTATCAAACGGAATGTTCCATTCTGTGAGTCGAATGCACACATCCGAAGAAGTTACTGAGACTTCTTCTCTGTAGGTTTAGATGAAGAAATCCCGTTTCCAACGAAGGCCTCTAGGAGGTCCAATTATCCACTTGCAGATTCTACAGAAAGAGTGTTTCAAAACTGCTCTATCAAGAGAAATGGTCCACCGTGTGTGTGGAATGCAGCCATCACACATTAGTTTCTGAGATTGCTTCTGTCTTGGTTTTATGGGGAGATATTTCCATTTCTAGCATAGGCTTCAAGGCGCTCTAAATATCCGCTTGGAAATACTACAAAAACAGTGTTTCAAAACTGCTGTATCCAAAGGAAGGTGCCACTCGCTGAGTTGAATGCACACATCACAAGGAAGTTTCTGAGAATTCTTCTGTCTAGATTCATACGAAGAAATCCCGTTTCCAACGAAGGCCTCAAAGAAGTCCAAATATCCCATTGCAAATTCTACAAAAGGAGTGTTTCCCAACTGCTCTATCAAGAGGAATGTTGCACTCTGTGACTTGCATGCAAACATCATATAGCAGTGTTTGAGAATTCTTCTGTCTAGAGTAACATGAAGAAATCCCGTTTCCAACGAAGGCCTCAAGGCGGTCCAATTATCCACTTGCAGATTCTACAGAAAGAGTGTTTCAAAACTGCTCTATCAAGAGAAATGTTCCACCGTGTGTGTGGAATGCAGCCATCACACAGTAGTTTCTGAGATTGCTTCCGTCTAGGTTTTATGGGAAGATATTTCCTTTTCTACCATAGGCCTCAAGGCGCTCTAATATCCGCTTGGAAATACTACAACCACAGCGTTTCAAACTGCTCTATCCAAAGGAAGGTTCCACTCTGTGAGTTGAATGCACACAACCAAAGATGTTTCGGAGAATTCTTCTGTCTAGATTTATACGAAGAAATCCCGTTTCCAACGAAGACCCAAAGGAGTTCCAAATATCCACTTGCAGATCCTTCAGAAAGAGGGTTTCAAAACTGCTCTATCAAGAGAAATGTTCAACTCTGTGAGTTGAATGCAGACATCACAAAGTCGTTTCTGAGATTGGTTCTGTCTAGGTTTTATGGGAAGATATTTCCTTTTCTACCATACGCTTCAAGGCGTTCCAAATATCCGCTTGGAAATACTACAAAAACAGTGTTTCAAAACTGCTCTATCAAAAGGAAGGATCCACACTGTGAGTTGAATTCACACATCACAAAGAAGTCTCTGAGAATTCTTCTGTCTGGGTTTATAGGAAGAAATCCCGTTTCCAACGAAGGCCTCAAAGAGGTCCAAATATCCACTTGCAGATTCTACAGAAACAATGTTTCCAAACTGCTCGGTCAAGAGGAATGTTGCACTCGGTGAGTTGAATGCACACATCACAAAGTAGTTTCTGAGATTGCTTCTGTCTACCTTTTATGGAAAGATATTCCCTTTTCTACCATAGGCCTGAAAGCGCTCTCAATGTACCCTTGCAAATTCTACAAAAAGAGTGTTTCCAAATTGCTCTATCAAGAGAAATCTTTATCTCGGTGAGTTGAAAGCACACATCACAAAGAAGACTCTGAGAATTCTTCTGTCTGGGTTTATAAGATGAAAACCCGTTTCCAACGAAGGCCTCAAGGAGGTCCAAATACAAACAAGCTGATTCTACAGAAAGAGTGTTACCAAACTGCTCTATCAAGAGGAATGTTCCACTCGGTGAGTTGAATGCAGACATCACAAAGGAGTTTCTGAGATTGCTTCTGTCTAGCTTTTATGGAAAGATATTTCCTTTTCTACCATAGGCCTCAAAGCGCTCTTAGTATACACTTCCAAATTCTACAAAGAGAGTGTTACTAAACCGCTCTCTCAAAGGAAATGTTAAACTCTGTGAGTTGAACACAGACATCACAAAGCAGTTTCTGAGAACACTTCTGTCTGCCTTTTATGTGAAGACATTCCCTTTTCCAAAGAATGCCTCCAAGGGCTCAAAATATCCACTTGTAGACTTAGAGTGTTTCAAAACTTCTCTACCAAAAGAAAGGTTAAAGACGGTGAGTTCAACGCACACATCACAAAGTTGTTTCTGAGAATGATTCTATCTATGTTTTCCATGAAGATGTTTCCTTTTCTATCATAGGCTTCAAAGTGGTCTAAATATCCACTTGGAAATCCTACAAGAACAGGGTTTCAAAACTTCTCTATCAAACGGAAGACTCCACTCTGTGAGATGAACGCACACATCACAATGAGGTTTCTGAAAATTCTTCTGTCTAGGGGTATAGGAAGAAATCCCGTTTCCAACGAAGGCCTCAAAGAGGTCCAAATATCCACTTGCAGTTTCTACAAAAAGAGTGTTTCAACACTGCTCTATAAAGAGGAAAGTTCCACTCTGTGAGTTGAATGTACACATCACAAAGTAGTTTCTGAGATTGCTTCTGTCTAGGTTTTAGGTGAAGTTATTTCCTTTTCTACTGTGGGCTTCAATGCGCTCTAAATATACACATGCAAATACTACAAAAAGAGTGTTTCAAAACTGCTCTATCAAAAGAAAAGTTTTACTCTGTGGGTTGAACGCACACATCGCAAAGCAGATTCTGAGAATTATTCTGTCTAGTTTTTATAGGAAGATGTTTCTTTTTCTGCCGTAGGCTCAATGCGCTATAAATATCCCCTTGGAAATCCTACAAAAACAGTGTTTCAAAACTGCTCTGTGAAAAGGGAGGTTTCACTCTTTGAATTGAATGCACACATCACAAAGGAGTTTCTGAAAATTCTTCAATCTAGAGTTACATGAAGAAATCCCGTTTCCAAAGAAGGCCTCAAATAGGTCCAAATATCCACTTGCAGCTACTACAAGCAGGGTGTTTCAGAAACGCTCTATCAAAAGAAACGTTAAACTCTGTGAGTTGAACACACACGTCACTAAGCACTTTCTGAGAACGGATTCTATCTACTTTTTACATGAAGATGTTTCCTTTTCTAGCAGAGACTTCAAAGTGCTCTAAATATCCACTTGGGAATTCTACAAAAACGGTGTCTCAAAACTGCTCTATCAAACGGAATGTTCCATTCTGTGAGTCGAATGCACACATCCGAAGAAGTTACTGAGAATTCTTCTCTGTAGGTTTAGATGAAGAAATCCCGTTTCCAACGAAGGCCTCTAGGAGGTCCAATTATCCACTTGCAGATTCTACAGAAAGAGTGTTTCAAAACTGCTCTATCAAGAGAAATGGTCCACCGTGTGTGTGGAATGCAGCCATCACACATTAGTTTCTGAGATTGCTTCTGTCTTGGTTTTATGGGGAGATATTTCCATTTCTAGCATAGGCTTCAAGGCGCTCTAAATATCCGCTTGGAAATACTACAAAAACAGTGTTTCAAAACTGCTGTATCCAAAGGAAGGTGCCACTCGCTGAGTTGAATGCACACATCACAAGGAAGTTTCTGAGAATTCTTCTGTCTAGATTCATACGAAGAAATCCCGTTTCCAACGAAGGCCTCAAAGAAGTCCAAATATCCCATTGCAAATTCTACAAAAGGAGTGTTTCCCAACTGCTCTATCAAGAGGAATGTTGCACTCTGTGACTTGCATGCAAACATCACACAGCAGTGTTTGAGAATTCTTCTGTCTAGAGTAACATGAAGAAATCCCGTTTCCAACGAAGGCCTCAAGGCGGTCCAATTATCCACTTGCAGATTCTACAGAAAGAGTGTTTCAAAACTGCTCTATCAAGAGAAATGTTCCACCGTGTGTGTGGAATGCAGCCATCACACAGTAGTTTCTGAGATTGCTTCCGTCTAGGTTTTATGGGAAGATATTTCCTTTTCTACCATAGGCCTCAAGGCGCTCTAATATCCGCTTGGAAATACTACAACCACAGCGTTTCAAACTGCTCTATCCAAAGGAAGGTTCCACTCTGTGAGTTGAATGCACACAACCAAAGATGTTTCGGAGAATTCTTCTGTCTGGATTTATACGAAGAAATCCCGTTTCCAACGAAGACCCAAAAGAGTTCCAAATATCCACTTGCAGATCCTTCAGAAAGAGGGTTTCAAAACTGCTCTATCAAGAGAAATGTTCAACTCTGTGAGTTGAATGCAGACATCACAAAGTCGTTTCTGAGATTGGTTCTGTCTAGGTTTTATGGGAAGATATTTCCTTTTCTACCATACGCTTCAAGGCGTTCCAAATATCCGCTTGGAAATACTACAAAAACAGTGTTTCAAAACTGCTCTATCAAAAGGAAGGATCCACACTGTGAGTTGAATTCACACATCACAAAGAAGTCTCTGAGAATTCTTCTGTCTGGGTTTATAGGAAGAAATCCCGTTTCCAACGAAGGCCTCAAAGAGGTCCAAATATCCACTTGCAGATTCTACAGAAACAATGTTTCCAAACTGCTCGGTCAAGAGGAATGTTGCACTCGGTGAGTTGAATGCACACATCACAAAGTAGTTTCTGAGATTGCTTCTGTCTACCTTTGATGGAAAGATATTCCCTTTTCTACCATAGGCCTGAAAGCGCTCTCAATGTACCCTTGCAAATTCTACAAAAAGAGTGTTTCCAAATTGCTCTATCAAGAGAAATCTTTATCTCGGTGAGTTGAAAGCACACATCACAAAGAAGACTCTGAGAATTCTTCTGTCTGGGTTTATAAGATGAAAACCCGTTTCCAACGAAGGCCTCAAGGAGGTCCAAATACAAACAGGCTGATTCTACAGAAAGAGTGTTTCCAAACTGCTCTATCAAGAGGAATGTTCCACTCGGTGAGTTGAATGCAGACATCACAAAGGAGTTTCTGAGATTGCTTCTGTCTAGCTTTTATGGAAAGATAATTCCTTTTCTACCATAGGCCTCAAAGCGCTCTTAGTATACACTTCCAAATTCTACAAAGAGAGTGTTACTAAACCGCTCTCTCAAAGGAAATGTTAAACTCTGTGAGTTGAACACAGACATCACAAAGCAGTTTCTGAGAACACTTCTGTCTGCCTTTTATGTGAAGACATTCCCTTTTCCAGAGAATGCCTCCAAGAGCCCAAAATATCCACTTGTAGACTTTACAAAGAGAGTGTTTCAAAACTTCTCTACCAAAAGAAAGGTTAAAGACTGTGAGTTCTACGCACGCATCACAAAGTTGTTTCTGAGAATGATTCTATCTATGTTTTCCATGAAGATGTTTCCTTTTCTATCATAGGCTTCAAAGTGGTCTAAATATCCACTTGGAAATCCTACAAGAACAGGGTTTCAAAACTTCTCTATCAAACGGAAGACTCCACTCTGTGAGATGAACGCACACATCACAATGAGGTTTCTGAAAATTCTTCTGTCTAGGGTTATAGGAAGAAATCCCGTTTCCAACGAAGGCCTCAAAGAGGTCCAAATATCCACTTGCAGTTTCTACAAAAAGAGTGTTTCAACACTGCTCTATAAAGAGAAAAGTTCCACTCTGTGAGTTGAATGTACACATCACAAAGTAGTTTCTGAGATTGCTTCTGTCTAGGTTTTAGGTGAAGTTATTTCCTTTTCTACTGTGGGCTTCAATGCGCTCTAAATATACACATGCAAATACTACAAAAAGAGTGTTTCAAAACTGCTCTATCAAAAGAAAAGTTTTACTCTGTGAGTTGAACGCACACATCGCAAAGCAGATTCTGAGAATTATTCTGTCTAGTTTTTATAGGAAGATGTTTCTTTTTCTGCCATAGGCTCAATGCGCTATAAATATCCCCTTGGAAATCCTACAAAAACAGTGTTTCAAAACTGCTCTGTGAAAAGGGAGGTTTCACTCTTTGAATTGAATGCACACATCACAAAGGAGTTTCTGAAAATTCTTCAATCTAGAGTTACATGAAGAAATCCCGTTTCCAAAGAAGGCCTCAAATAGGTCCAAATATCCACTTGCAGCTACTACAAGAAGGGTGTTTCAGAAACGCTCTATCAAAAGAAACGTTAAACTCTGTGAGTTGAACGCACACGTCACTAAGCACTTTCTGAGAACGATTCTATCTACTTTTTACATGAAGATGTTTCCTTTTCTAGCAGAGACTTCAAAGTGCTCTAAATATCCACTTGGGAATTCTACAAAAACGGTGTCTCAAAACTGCTCTATCAAAGGGAATGTTCCATTCTGTGAGTCGAATGCACACATCCGAAGAAGTTACTGAGAATTCTTCTCTGTAGGTTTAGATGAAGAAATCCCGTTTCCAACGAAGGCCTCTAGGAGGTCCAATTATCCACTTGCAGATTCTACAGAAAGAGTGTTTCAAAACTGCTCTATCAAGAGAAATGGTCCACCGTGTGTGTGGAATGCAGCCATCACACATTAGTTTCTGAGATTGCTTCTGTCTTGGTTTTATGGGGAGATATTTCCATTTCTAGCATAGGCTTCAAGGCGCTCTAAATATCCGCTTGGAAATACTACAAAAACAGTGTTTCAAAACTGCTGTATCCAAAGGAAGGTGCCACTCGCTGAGTTGAATGCACACATCACAAGGAAGTTTCTGAGAATTCTTCTGTCTAGATTCATACGAAGAAATCCCGTTTCCAACGAAGGCCTCAAAGAAGTCCAAATATCCCATTGCAAATTCTACAAAAGGAGTGTTTCCCAACTGCTCTATCAAGAGGAATGTTGCACTCTGTGACTTGCATGCAAACATCACACAGCAGTGTTTGAGAATTCTTCTGTCTAGAGTAACATGAAGAAATCCCGTTTCCAACGAAGGCCTCAAGGCGGTCCAATTATCCACTTGCAGATTCTACAGAAAGAGTGTTTCAAAACTGCTCTATCAAGAGAAATGTTCCACCGTGTGTGTGGAATGCAGCCATCACACAGTAGTTTCTGAGATTGCTTCCGTCTAGGTTTTATGGGAAGATATTTCCTTTTCTACAGAAAGAGTGTTTCAAAACTGCTCTATCAAGAGAAATGGTCCACCGTGTGTGTGGAATGCAGCCATCACACATTAGTTTCTGAGATTGCTTCTGTCTTGGTTTTATGGGGAGATATTTCCATTTCTAGCATAGGCTTCAAGGCGCTCTAAATATCCGCTTGGAAATAGTACAAAAACAGTGTTTCAAAACTGCTGTATCCAAAGGAAGGTGCCACTCGCTGAGTTGAATGCACACATCACAAGGAAGTTTCTGAGAATTCTTCTGTCTAGATTCATACGAAGAAATCCCGTTTCCAACGAAGGCCTCAAAGAAGTCCTAATATCCCATTGCAAATTCTACAAAAGGAGTGTTTCCCAACTGCTCCATCAAGAGGAATGTTGCACTCTGTGACTTGAATGCAAACATCACATAGCAGTGTTTGAGAATTCTTCTGTCTAGAGTAACATGAAGAAATCCCGTTTCCAACGAAGGCCTCAAGGCGGTCCAATTATCCACTTGCAGATTCTACAGAAAGAGTGTTTCAAAACTGCTCTATCAAGAGAAATGTTCCACCATGTGTGTGGAATGCAGCCATCACACAGTAGTTTCTGAGATTGCTTCCGTCTAGGTTTTATGGGAAGATATTTCCTTTTCTACCATAGGCTTCAAGGCGCTCTAATATCCGCTTGGAAATACTACAACCACAGCGTTTCAAACTGCTCTATCCAAAGGAAGGTTCCACTCTGTGACTTGAATGCACACAACCAAAGAAGTTTCGGAGAATTCTTCTGTCTGGATTTATACGAAGAAATCCCGTTTCCAACGAAGACCCAAAGGAGTTCCAAATATCCACTTGCAGATCCTTCAGAAAGAGGGTTTCAAAACTGCTCTATGAAGAGAAATGTTCAACTCTGTGAGTTGAATGCAGACATCACAAAGTCGTTTCTGAGATTGGTTCTGTCTAGGTTTTATGGGAAGATATTTCCTTTTCTACCATACGCTTCAAGGCGTTCCAAATATCCGCTTGGAAATACTACAAAAACGGTGTTTCAAAACTGCTCTATCAAAAGGAAGGATCCACACTGTGAGTTGAATTCACACATCACAAAGAAATCTCTGAGAATTCTTCTGTTTGGTTTATAGGAAGAAATCCCGTTTCCAACGAAGGCCTCAAAGCGGTCCATATATCCACTTGCAGATTCTACAGAAACAATGTTTCCAAACTGCTCTATCAAGAGGAATGTTGCACTCGGTGAGTTGAATGCACACATCACAAAGTAGTTTCTGAGATTGCTTCTGTCTACCTTTTATGGAAAGATATTCCCTTTTCTACCATAGGCCTGAAAGCGTTCTCAATGTACCCTTGCAAATTCTACAAAAAGAGTGTTTCCAAATTGCTCTATCAAGAGAAATCTTTATCTCAGTGAGTTGAAAGCACACATCACAAAGAAGACTCTGAGAATTCTTCTGTCTGGGTTTATAAGATGAAAACCCGTTTCCAACGAAGGCCTCAAGGAGGTCCAAATACAAACAAGCTGATTCTACAGAAAGAGTGTTTCCAAACTGCTCTATCAAGAGGAATGTTCCACTCGGTGAGTTGAATGCAGACATCACAAAGGAGTTTCTGAGATTGCTTCTGTCTAGCTTTTATGGAAAGATATTTCCTTTTCTACCATAGGCCTCAAAGCGCTCTTAGTATACACTTCCAAATTCTACAAAGAGAGTGTTACTAAACCGCTCTCTCAAAGGAAATGTTAAACTCTGTGAGTTGAACACAGACATCACAAAGCAGTTTCTGAGAACACTTCTGTCTGCCTTTTATGTGAAGACATTCCCTTTTCCAAAGAATGCCTCCAAGGGCTCAAAATATCCACTTGTAGACTTTACAAAGAGAGTGTTTCAAAACTTCTCTACCAAAAGAAAGGTTAAAGACGGTGAGTTCAACGCACACATCACAAAGTTGTTTCTGAGAATGATTCTATCTATGTTTTCCATGAAGATGTTTCCTTTTCTATCATAGGCTTCAAAGTGGTCTAAATATCCACTTGGAAATCCTACAAGAACAGGGTTTCAAAACTTCTCTATCAAACGGAAGACTCCACACTGTGAGATGAACGCACACATCACAATGAGGTTTCTGAAAATTCTTCTGTCTAGGGTTATAGGAAGAAATCCCGTTTCCAACGAAGGCCTCAAAGAGGTCCAAATATCCACTTGCAGTTTCTACAAAAAGAGTGTTTCAACACTGCTCTATAAAGAGGAAAGTTCCACTCTGTGAGTTGAATGTACACATCACAAAGTAGTTTCTGAGATTGCTTCTGTCTAGGTTTTAGGTGAAGTTATTTCCTTTTCTACTGTGGGCTTCAATGCGCTCTAAATATACACATGCAAATACTACAAAAAGAGTGTTTCAAAACTGCTCTATCAAAAGAAAAGTTTTACTCTGTGGGTTGAACGCACACATCGCAAAGCAGATTCTGAGAATTATTCTGTCTAGTTTTTATAGGAAGATGTTTCTTTTTCTGCCATAGGCTCAATGCGCTATAAATATCCCCTTGGAAATCCTACAAAAACAGTGTTTCAAAACTGCTCTGTGAAAAGGGAGGTTTCACTCTTTGAATTGAATGCACACATCACAAAGGAGTTTCTGAAAATTCTTCAATCTAGAGTTACATGAAGAAATCCCGTTTCCAAAGAAGGCCTCAAATAGGTCCAAATATCCACTTGCAGCTACTACAAGAAGGGTGTTTCAGAAACGCTCTATCAAAAGAAACGTTAAACTCTGTGAGTTGAACGCACACGTCACTAAGCACTTTCTGAGAACGATTCTATCTACTTTTTACATGAAGATGTTTCCTTTTCTAGCAGAGACTTCAAAGTGCTCTAAATATCCACTTGGGAATTCTACAAAAACGGTGTCTCAAAACTGCTCTATCAAAGGGAATGTTCCATTCTGTGAGTCGAATGCACACATCCGAAGAAGTTACTGAGAATTCTTCTCTGTAGGTTTAGATGAAGAAATCCCATTTCCAAAGAAGGCCTCTAGGAGTTCCAATTATCCACTTGCAGATTCTACAGAAAGAGTGTTTCAAAACTGCTCTATCAAGAGAAATGGTCCACCGTGTGTGTGGAATGCAGCCATCACACATTAGTTTCTGAGATTGCTTCTGTCTTGGTTTTATGGGGAGATATTTCCATTTCTAGCATAGGCTTCAAGGCGCTCTAAATATCCGCTTGGAAATACTACAAAAACAGTGTTTCAAAACTGCTGTATCCAAAGGAAGGTGCCACTCGCTGAGTTGAATGCACACATCACAAGGAAGTTTCTGAGAATTCTTCTGTCTAGATTCATACGAAGAAATCCCGTTTCCAACGAAGGCCTCAAAGAAGTCCAAATATCCCATTGCAAATTCTACAAAAGGAGTGTTTCCCAACTGCTCTATCAAGAGGAATGTTGCACTCTGTGACTTGAATGCAAACATCACATAGCAGTGTTTGAGAATTCTTCTGTCTAGAGTAACATGAAGAAATCCCGTTTCCAACGAAGGCCTCAAGGCGGTCCAATTATCCACTTGCAGATTCTACAGAAAGAGTGTTTCAAAACTGCTCTATCAAGAGAAATGTTCCACCGTGTGTGTGGAATGCAGCCATCACACAGTAGTTTCTGAGATTGCTTCCGTCTAGGTTTTATGGGAAGATATTTCCTTTTCTACCGTAGGCTTCAAGGCGCTCTAATATCCGCTTGGAAATACTACAACCACAGCGTTTAAAACTGCTCTATCCAAAGGAAGGTTCCACTCTGTGACTTGAATGCACACAACCAAAGAAGTTTCGGAGAATTCTTCTGTCTGGATTTATACGAAGAAATCCCGTTTCCAACGAAGACCCAAAGGAGTTCCAAATATCCACTTGCAGATCCTTCAGAAAGAGGGTTTCAAAACTGCTCTATCAAGAGAAATGTTCAACTCTGTGAGTTGAATGCAGACATCACAAAGTCGTTTCTGAGATTGGTTCTGTCTAGGTTTTATGGGAAGATATTTCCTTTTCTACCATACGCTTCAAGGCGTTCCAAATATCCGCTTGGAAATACTACAAAAACGGTGTTTCAAAACTGCTCTATCAAAAGGAAGGATCCACACTGTGAGTTGAATTCACACATCACAAAGAAGTCTCTGAGAATTCTTCTGTCTGGGTTTATAGGAAGAAATCCCGTTTCCAACGAAGGCCTCAAAGAGGTCCAAATATCCACTTGCAGATTCTACAGAAACAATGTTTCCAAACTGCTCGGTCAAGAGGAATGTTGCACTCGGTGAGTTGAATGCACACATCACAAAGTAGTTTCTGAGATTGCTTCTGTCTACCTTTTATGGAAAGATATTCCCTTTTCTACCATAGGCCTGAAAGCGCTCTCAATGTACCCTTGCAAATTCTACAAAAAGAGTGTTTCCAAATTGCTCTATCAAGAGAAATCTTTATCTCGGTGAGTTGAAAGCACACATCACAAAGAAGACTCTGAGAATTCTTCTGTCTGGGTTTATAAGATGAAAACCCGTTTCCAACGAAGGCCTCAAGGAGGTCCAAATACAAACAAGCTGATTCTACAGAAAGAGTGTTTCCAAACTGCTCTATCAAGAGGAATGTTCCACTCGGTGAGTTGAATGCAGACATCACAAAGGAGTTTCTGAGATTGCTTCTGTCTAGCTTTTATGGAAAGATATTTCCTTTTCTACCATAGGCCTCAAAGCGCTCTTAGTATACACTTCCAAATTCTACAAAGAGAGTGTTACTAAACCGCTCTCTCAAAGGAAATGTTAAACTCTGTGAGTTGAACACAGACATCACAAAGCAGTTTCTGAGAACACTTCTGTCTGCCTTTTATGTGAAGACATTCCCTTTTCCAAAGAATGCCTCCAAGGGCTCAAAATATCCACTTGTAGACTTTACAAAGAGAGTGTTTCAAAACTTCTCTACCAAAAGAAAGGTTAAAGACGGTGAGTTCAACGCACACATCACAAAGTTGTTTCTGAGAATGATTCTATCTATGTTTTCCATGAAGATGTTTCCTTTTCTATCATAGGCTTCAAAGTGGTCTAAATATCCACTTGGAAATCCTACAAGAACAGGGTTTCAAAACTTCTCTATCAAACGGAAGACTCCACTCTGTGAGATGAACGCACACATCACAATGAGGTTTCTGAAAATTCTTCTGTCTAGGGTTATAGGAAGAAATCCCGTTTCCAACGAAGGCCTCAAAGAGGTCCAAATATCCACTTGCAGTTTCTACAAAAAGAGTGTTTCAACACTGCTCTATAAAGAGAAAAGTTCCACTCTGTGAGTTGAATGTACACATCACAAAGTAGTTTCTGAGATTGCTTCTGTCTAGGTTTTAGGTGAAGTTATTTCCTTTTCTACTGTGGGCTTCAATGCGCTCTAAATATACACATGCAAATACTACAAAAAGAGTGTTTCAAAACTGCTCTATCAAAAGAAAAGTTTTACTCTGTGAGTTGAACGCACACATCGCAAAGCAGATTCTGAGAATTATTCTGTCTAGTTTTTATAGGAAGATGTTTCTTTTTCTGCCATAGGCTCAATGCGCTATAAATATCCCCTTGGAAATCCTACAAAAACAGTGTTTCAAAACTGCTCTGTGAAAAGGGAGGTTTCACTCTTTGAATTGAATGCACACATCACAAAGGAGTTTCTGAAAATTCTTCAATCTAGAGTTACATGAAGAAATCCCGTTTCCAAAGAAGGCCTCAAATAGGTCCAAATATCCACTTGCAGCTACTACAAGAAGGGTGTTTCAGAAACGCTCTATCAAAAGAAACGTTAAACTCTGTGAGTTGAACGCACACGTCACTAAGCACTTTCTGAGAACGATTCTATCTACTTTTTACATGAAGATGTTTCCTTTTCTAGCAGAGACTTCAAAGTGCTCTAAATATCCAATTGGGAATTCTACAAAAACGGTGTCTCAAAACTGCTCTATCAAAGGGAATGTTCCATTCTGTGAGTCGAATGCACACATCCGGAAGAAGTTACTGAGAATTCTTCTCTGTAGGTTTAGATGAAGAAATCCCATTTCCAACGAAGGCCTCTAGGAGGTCCAATTATCCACTTGCAGATTCTACAGAAAGAGTGTTTCAAAACTGCTCTATCAAGAGAAATGGTCCACCGTGTGTGTGGAATGCAGCCATCACACATTAGTTTCTGAGATTGCTTCTGTCTTGGTTTTATGGGGAGATATTTCCATTTCTAGCATAGGCTTCAAGGCGCTCTAAATATCCGCTTGGAAATACTACAAAAACAGTGTTTCAAAACTGCTGTATCCAAAGGAAGGTGCCACTCGCTGAGTTGAATGCACACATCACAAGGAAGTTTCTGAGAATTCTTCTGTCTAGATTCATACGAAGAAATCCCGTTTCCAACGAAGGCCTCAAAGAAGTCCAAATATCCCATTGCAAATTCTACAAAAGGAGTGTTTCCCAACTGCTCTATCAAGAGGAATGTTGCACTCTGTGACTTGAATGCAAACATCACATAGCAGTGTTTGAGAATTCTTCTGTCTAGAGTAACATGAAGAAATCCCGTTTCCAACGAAGGCCTCAAGGCGGTCCAATTATCCACTTGCAGATTCTACAGAAAGAGTGTTTCAAAACTGCTCTATCAAGAGAAATGTTCCACCGTGTGTGTGGAATGCAGCCATCACACAGTAGTTTCCGTGATTGCTTCCGTCTAGGTTTTATGGGAAGATATTTCCTTTTCTACCATAGGCTTCAAGGCGCTCTAATATCCGCTTGGAAATACTACAACCACAGCGTTTCAAACTGCTCTATCCAAAGGAAGGTTCCACTCTGTGACTTGAATGCACACAACCAAAGAAGTTTCGGAGAATTCTTCTGTCTGGATTTATACGAAGAAATCCCGTTTCCAACGAAGACCCAAAGGAGTTCCAAATATCCACTTGCAGATCCTTCAGAAAGAGGGTTTCAAAACTGCTCTATCAAGAGAAATGTTCAACTCTGTGAGTTGAATGCAGACATCACAAAGTCGTTTCTGAGATTGGTTCTGTCTAGGTTTTATGGGAAGATATTTCCTTTTCTACCACACGCTTCAAGGCGTTCCAAATATCCGCTTGGAAATACTACAAAAACAGTGTTTCGTAACTGCTCTATCAAAAGGAAGGATCCACACTGTGAGTTGAATTCACACATCACAAAGAAGTCTCTGAGAATTCTTCTGTCTGGGTTTATAGGAAGAAATCCCGTTTCCAACGAAGGCCTCAAAGAGGTCCAAATATCCACTTGCAGATTCTACAGAAACAATGTTTCCAAACTGCTCTGTCAAGAGGAACGTTGCACTCGGTGAGTTGAATGCACACATCACAAAGTAGTTTCTGAGATTGCTTCTGTCTACCTTTTATGGAAAGATATTCCCTTTTCTACCATAGGCCTGAAAGCGCTCTCAATGTACCCTTGCAAATTCTACAAAAAGAGTGTTTCCAAATTGCTCTATCAAGAGAAATCTTTATCTCGGTGAGTTGAAAGCACACATCACAAAGAAGACTCTGAGAATTCTTCTGTCTGGGTTTATAAGATGAAAACCCGTTTCCAACGAAGGCCTCAAGGAGGTCCAAATACAAACAAGCTGATTCTACAGAAAGAGTGTTTCCAAACTGCTCTATCAAGAGGAATGTTCCACTCGGTGAGTTGAATGCAGACATCACAAAGGAGTTTCTGAGATTGCTTCTGTCTAGCTTTTATGGAAAGATATTTCCTTTTCTACCATAGGCCTCAAAGCGCTCTTAGTATACACTTCCAAATTCTACAAAGAGAGTGTTACTAAACCGCTCTCTCAAAGGAAATGTTAAACTCTGTGAGTTGAACACAGACATCACAAAGCAGTTTCTGAGAACACTTCTGTCTGCTTTTATGTGAAGACATTCCCTTTTCCAAAGAATGCCTCCAAGGGCTCAAAATATCCACTTGTAGACTTTACAAAGAGAGTGTTTCAAAACTTCTCTACCAAAAGAAAGGTTAAAGACGGTGAGTTCAACGCACACATCACAAAGTTGTTTCTGAGAATGATTCTATCTATGTTTTCCATGAAGATGTTTCCTTTTCTATCATAGGCTTCAAAGTGGTCTAAATATCCACTTGGAAATCCTACAAGAACAGGGTTTCAAAACTTCTCTATCAAACGGAAGACTCCACTCTGTGAGATGAACGCACACATCACAATGAGGTTTCTGAAAATTCTTCTGTCTAGGGTTATAGGAAGAAATCCCGTTTCCAACGAAGGCCTCAAAGAGGTCCAAATATCCACTTGCAGTTTCTACAAAAAGAGTGTTTCAACACTGCTCTATAAAGAGGAAAGTTCCACTCTGTGAGTTGAATGTACACATCACAAAGTAGTTTCTGAGATTGCTTCTGTCTAGGTTTTAGGTGAAGTTATTTCCTTTTCTACTGTGGGCTTCAAGGCGCTCTAAATATACACATGCAAATACTACAAAAAGAGTGTTTCAAAACTGCTCTATCAAAAGAAAAGTTTTACTCTGTGAGTTGAACGCACACATCGCAAAGCAGATTCTGAGAATTATTCTGTCTAGTTTTTATAGGAAGATGTTTCTTTTTCTGCCGTAGGCTCAATGCGCTATAAATATCCCCTTGGAAATCCTACAAAAACAGTGTTTCAAAACTGCTCTGTGAAAAGGGAGGTTTCACTCTTTGAATTGAATGCACACATCACAAAGGAGTTTCTGAAAATTCTTCAAACTAGAGTTACATGAAGAAATCCCGTTTCCAAAGAAGGCCTCAAATAGGTCCAAATATCCACTTGCAGCTACTACAAGAAGGGTGTTTCAGAAACGCTCTATCAAAAGAAATGTTAAACTCTGTGAGTTGAACGCACACGTCACTAAGCACTTTCTGAGAACGATTCTATCTACTTTTTACATGAAGATGTTTCCTTTTCTAGCAGAGACTTCAAAGTGCTCTAAATATCCACTTGGGAATTCTACAAAAACGGTGTCTCAAAACTGCTCTATCAAACGGAATGTTCCATTCTGTGAGTCGAATGCACACATCCGAAGAAGTTACTGAGAATTCTTCTCTGTAGGTTTAGATGAAGAAATCCCGTTTCCAACGAAGGCCTCTAGGAGGTCCAATTATCCACTTGCAGATTCTACAGAAAGAGTGTTTCAAAACTGCTCTATCAAGAGAAATGGTCCACCGTGTGTGTGGAATGCAGCCATCACACATTAGTTTCTGAGATTGCTTCTGTCTTGGTTTTATGGGGAGATATTTCCATTTCTAGCATAGGCTTCAAGGCGCTCTAAATATCTGCTTGGAAATAGTACAAAAACAGTGTTTCAAAACTGCTGTATCCAAAGGAAGGTGCCACTCGCTGAGTTGAATGCACACATCACAAGGAAGTTTCTGAGAATTCTTCTGTCTAGATTCATACGAAGAAATCCCGTTTCCAACGAAGGCCTCAAAGAAGTCCAAATATCCCATTGCAAATTCTACAAAAGGAGGGTTTCCCAACTGCTCTATCAAGAGGAATGTTGCACTCTGTGACTTGAATGCAAACATCACATAGCAGTGTTTGAGAATTCTTTTATATAGAGTAACATGAAGTAAATCCCGTTTCCAACGAAGGCCTCAAGGCGGTCCAATTATCCACTTGCAGATTCTACAGAAAGAGTGTTTCCAAACTGCTCTATCAAGAGAAATGTTCCACCGTGTGTGTGGAATGCAGCCATCACACAGTAGTTTCTGAGATTGCTTAAGTCTAGGTTTTATGAGAAGATATTTCCTTTTCTACCATAGGCCTCAAGGCGCTCTAATATCCGCTTGGAAATACTACAACCACAGCGTTTCAAACTGCTCTATCCAAAGGAAGGTTCCACTCTGTGACTTGAATGCACACAACCAAAGAAGTTTCGGAGAATTCTTCTGTCTCGATTTATATGAAGAGATCCCGTTTCCAACGAAGACCCAAAGGAGTTCCAAATATCCACTTGCAGATCCTTCAGAAAGAGGGTTTCAAAACTGCTCTATCAAGAGAAATGTTCAACTCTGTGAGTTGAATGCAGACATCACAAAGTCGTTTCTGAGATTGGTTCTGTCTAGGTTTTATGGGAAGATATTTCCTTTTCTACCATACGCTTCAAGGCGTTCCAAATATCCGCTTGGAAATACTACAAAAACAGTGTTTCAAAACTGCTCTATCAAAAGGAAGGATCCACACTGTGAGTTGAATTCACACATCACAAAGAAGTCTCTGAGAATTCTTCTGTCTGGGTTTATAGGAAGAAATCCCGTTTCCAACGAAGGCCTCAAAGCGGTCCATATATCCACTTGCAGATTCTACAGAAACAATGTTTCCAAACTGCTCTATCAAGAGGAATGTTGCACTCGGGGAGTTGAATGCACACATCACAAAGTAGTTTCTGAGATTGCTTCTGTCTACCTTTTATGGAAAGATATTCCCTTTTCTACCATAGGCCTGAAAGCGCTCTCAATGTACCCTTGCAAATTCTACAAAAAGAGTGTTTCCAAATTGCTCTATCAAGAGAAATCTTTATCTCGGTGAGTTGAAAGCACACATCACAAAGAAGACTCTGAGAATTCTTCTGTCTGGGTTTATAAGATGAAAACCCGTTTCCAACGAAGGCCTCAAGGAGGTCCAAATACAAACAAGCTGATTCTACAGAAAGAGTGTTTCCAAACTGCTCTATCAAGAGGAATGTTCCACTCGGTGAGTTGAATGCAGACATCACAAAGGAGTTTCTGAGATTGCTTCTGTCTAGCTTTTATGGAAAGATATTTCCTTTTCTACCATAGGCCTCAAAGCGCTCTTAGTATACACTTCCAAATTCTACAAAGAGAGTGTTACTAAACCGCTCTCTCAAAGGAAATGTTAAACTCTGTGAGTTGAACACAGACATCACAAAGCAGTTTCTGAGAACACTTCTGTCTGCCTTTTATGTGAAGACATTCCCTTTTCCAAAGAATGCCTCCAAGGGCTCAAAATATCCACTTGTAGACTTTACAAAGAGAGTGTTTCAAAACTTCTCTACCAAAAGAAAGGTTAAAGACGGTGAGTTCAACGCACACATCACAAAGTTGTTTCTGACAATGATTCTATCTATGTTTTCCATGAAGATGTTTCCTTTTCTATCATAGGCTTCAAAGTGGTCTAAATATCCACTTGGAAATCCTACAAGAACAGGGTTTCAAAGCTTCTCTATCAAACGGAAGACTCCACTCTGTGAGATGAACGCACACATCACAATGAGGTTTCTGAAAATTCTTCTGTCTAGGGTTATAGGAAGAAATCCCGTTTCCAACGAAGGCCTCAAAGAGGTCCAAATATCCACTTGCAGTTTCTACAAAAAGAGTGTTTCAACACTGCTCTATAAAGAGAAAAGTTCCACTCTGTGAGTTGAATGTACACATCACAAAGTAGTTTCTGAGATTGCTTCTGTCTAGGTTTTAGGTGAAGTTATTTCCTTTTCTACTGTGGGCTTCAATGCGCTCTCAATATACACATGCAAATACTACAAAAAGAGTGTTTCAAAACTGCTCTATCAAAAGAAAAGTTTTACTCTGTGAGTTGAACGCACACATCGCAAAGCAGATTCTGAGAATTATTCTGTCTAGTTTTTATAGGAAGATGTTTCTTTTTCTGCCGTAGGCTCAATGCGCTATAAATATCCCCTTGGAAATCCTACAAAAACAGTGTTTCAAAACTGCTCTGTGAAAAGGGAGGTTTCACTCTTTGAATTGAATGCACACATCACAAAGGAGTTTCTGAAAATTCTTCAAACTAGAGTTACATGAAGAAATCCCGTTTCCAAAGAAGGCCTCAAATAGGTCCAAATATCCACTTGCAGCTACTACAAGAAGGGTGTTTCAGAAACGCTCTATCAAAAGAAACGTTAAACTCTGTGAGTTGAACGCACACGTCACTAAGCACTTTCTGAGAACGATTCTATCTACTTTTTACATGAAGATGTTTCCTTTTCTAGCAGAGACTTCAAAGTGCTCTAAATATCCACTTGGGAATTCTACAAAAACGGTGTCTCAAAACTGCTCTATCAAAGGGAATGTTCCATTCTGTGAGTCGAATGCAAACATCCGAAGAAGTTACTGAGAATTCTTCTCTGTAGGTTTAGATGAAGAAATCCCGCTTCCAACGAAGGCCTCTAGGAGGTCCAATTATCCACTTGCAGATTCTACAGAAAGAGTGTTTCAAAACTGCTCTATCAAGAGAAATGGTCCACCGTGTGTGTGGAATGCAGCCATCACACATTAGTTTCTGAGATTGCTTCTGTCTTGGTTTTATGGGGAGATATTTCCATTTCTAGCATAGGCTTCAAGGCGCTCTAAATATCCGCTTGGAAATACTACAAAAACAGTGTTTCAAAACTGCTGTATCGAAAGGAAGGTGCCACTCGCTGAGTTGAATGCACACATCACAAGGGAAGTTTCTGAGAATTCTTCTGTCTAGATTCATACGAAGAAATCCCGTTTCCAACGAAGGCCTCAAAGAAGTCCAAATATCCCATTGCAAATTCTACAAAAGGAGTGTTTCCCAACTGCTCTATCAAGAGGAATGTTGCACTCTGTGACTTGAATGCAAACATCACATAGCAGTGTTTGAGAATTCTTCTGTCTAGAGTAACATGAAGAAATCCCGTTTCCAACGAAGGCCTCAAGGCGGTCCAATTATCCACTTGCAGATTCTACAGAAAGAGTGTTTCAAAACTGCTCTATCAAGAGAAATGTTCCACCGTGTGTGTGGAATGCAGCCATCACACAGTAGTTTCTGAGATTGCTTCCGTCTAGGTTTTATGGGAAGATATTTCCTTTTCTACCATAGGCTTCAAGGCTCTCTAATATCCGCTTGGAAATACTACAACCAGAGCGTTTCAAACTGCTCTATCCAAAGGAAGGTTCCACTCTGTGACTTGAATGCACACAACCAAAGAAGTTTCGGAGAATTCTTCTGTCTGGATTTATACGAAGAAATCCCGTTTCCAATGAAGACCCAAAGGAGTTCCAAATATCCACTTGCAGATCCTTCAGAAAGAGGGTTTCAAAACTGCTCTATCAAGAGAAATGTTCAACTCTGTGAGTTGAATGCAGACATCACAAAGTCGTTTCTGAGATTGGTTCTGTCTAGGTTTTATGGGAAGATATTTCCTTTTCTACCATACGCTTCAAGGCGTTCCAAATATCCGCTTGGAAATACTACAAAAACGGTGTTTCAAAACTGCTCTATCAAAAGGAAGGATCCACACTGTGAGTTGAATTCACACATCACCAAGAAGTCTCTGAGAATTCTTCTGTCTGGGTTTATAGGAAGAAATCCCGTTTCCAACGAAGGCCTCAAAGAGGTCCAAATATCCACTTGCAGATTCTACAGAAACAATGTTTCCAAACTGCTCTATCAAGAGGAATGTTGCACTCGGTGAGTTGAATGCACACATCACAAAGTAGTTTCTGAGATTGCTTCTGTCTACCTTTTATGGAAAGATATTCCCTTTTCTACCATAGGCCTGAAAGCGCTCTCAATGTACCCTTGCAAATTCTACAAAAAGAGTGTTTCCAAATTGCTCTATCAAGAGAAATCTTTATCTCGGTGAGTTGAAAACACACATCACAAAGAAGACTCTGAGAATTCTTCTGTCTGGGTTTATAAGATGAAAACCCGTTTCCAACGAAGGCCTCAAGGAGGTCCAAATACAAACAAGCTGATTCTACAGAAAGAGTGTTTCCAAACTGCTCTATCAAGAGGAATGTTCCACTCGGTGAGTTGAATGCAGACATCACAAAGGAGTTTCTGAGATTGCTTCTGTCTAGCTTTTATGGAAAGATATTTCCTTTTCTACCATAGGCCTCAAGGCGCTCTTAGTATACACTTCCAAATTCTACAAAGAGAGTGTTACTAAACCGCTCTCTCAAAGGAAATGTTAAACTCTGTGAGTTGAACACAGACATCACAAAGCAGTTTCTGAGAACACTTCTGTCTGCCTTTTATGTGAAGACATTCCCTTTTCCAAAGAATGCCTCCAAGGGCTCAAAATATCCACTCGTAGACTTTACAAAGAGAGTGTTTCAAAACTTCTCTACCAAAAGAAAGGTTAAAGACGGTGAGTTCAACGCACACATCACAAAGTTGTTTCTGAGAATGATTCTATCTATGTTTTCCATGAAGATGTTTCCTTTTCTATCATAGGCTTCAAAGTGGTCTAAATATCCACTTGGAAATCCTACAAGAACAGGGTTTCAAAACTTCTCTATCAAACGGAAGACTCCACTCTGTGAGATGAACGCACACATCACAATGAGGTTTCTGAAAATTCTTCTGTCTAGGGTTATAGGAAGAAATCCCGTTTCCAACGAAGGCCTCAAAGAGGTCCAAATATCCACTTGCAGTTTCTACAAAAAGAGTGTTTCAACACTGCTCTATAAAGAGAAAAGTTCCACTCTGTGAGTTGAATGTACACATCACAAAGTAGTTTCTGAGATTGCTTCTGTCTAGGTTTTAGGTGAAGTTATTTCCTTTTCTACTTTGGGCTTCAATGCGCTCTAAATATACACATGCAAATACTACAAAAAGAGTGTTTCAAAACTGCTCTATCAAAAGAAAAGTTTTACTCTGTGGGTTGAACGCACACATCGCAAAGCAGATTCTGAGAATTATTCTGTCTAGTTTTTATAGGAAGATGTTTCTTTTTCTGCCGTAGGCTCAATGCGCTATAAATATCCCCTTGGAAATCCTACAAAAACAGTGTTTCAAAACTGCTCTGTGAAAAGGGAGGTTTCACTCTTTGAATTGAATGCACACATCACAAAGGAGTTTCTGAAAATTCTTCAATCTAGAGTTACATGAAGAAATCCCGTTTCCAAAGAAGGCCTCAAATAGGTCCAAATATCCACTTGCAGCTACTACAAGAAGGGTGTTTCAGAAACGCTCTATCAAAAGAAACGTTAAACTCTGTGAGTTGAACGCACACGTCACTAAGCACTTTCTGAGAACGATTCTATCTACTTTTTACATGAAGATGTTTCCTTTTCTAGCAGAGACTTCAAAGTGCTCTAAATATCCACTTGGGAATTCTACAAAAACGGTGTCTCAAAACTGCTCTATCAAAGGGAATGTTCCATTCTGTGAGTTGAATGCACACATCCGAAGAAGTTACTGAGAATTCTTCTCTGTAGGTTTAGATGAAGAAATCCCGTTTCCAACGAAGGCCTCTAGGAGGTCCAATTATCCACTTGCAGATTCTACAGAAAGAGTGTTTCAAAACTGCTCTATCAAGAGAAATGGTCCACCGTGTGTGTGGAATGCAGCCATCACACATTAGTTTCTGAGATTGCTTCTGTCTTGGTTTTATGGGGAGATATTTCCATTTCTAGCATAGGCTTCAAGGCGCTCTAAATATCCGCTTGGAAATACTACAAAAACAGTGTTTCAAAACTGCTGTATCCAAAGGAAGGTGCCACTCGCTGAGTTGAATGCACACATCACAAGGAAGTTTCTGAGAATTCTTCTGTCTAGATTCATACGAAGAAATCCCGTTTCCAACGAAGGCCTCAAAGAAGTCCAAATATCCCATTGCAAATTCTACAAAAGGAGTGTTTCCCAACTGCTCTATCAAGAGGAATGTTGCACTCTGTGACTTGAATGCAAACATCACATAGCAGTGTTTGAGAATTCTTCTATCTAGAGTAACATGAAGAAATCCCGTTTCCAACGAAGGCCTCAAGGCGGTCCAATTATCCACTTGCAGATTCTACAGAAAGAGTGTTTCAAAACTGCTCTATCAAGAGAAATGTTCCACCGTGTGTGTGGAATGCAGCCATCACACAGTAGTTTCTGAGATTGCTTCCGTCTAGGTTTTATGGGAAGATATTTCCTTTTCTACCATAGGCCTCAAGGCGCTCTAATATCCGCTTGGAAATACTACAACCACAGCATTTCAAACTGCTCTATCCAAAGGAAGGTTCCACTCTGTGACTTGAATGCACACAACCAAAGAAGTTTCGGAGAATTCTTCTGTCTAGATTTATACGAAGAAATCCCGTTTCCAACGAAGACCCAAAGGAGTTCCAAATATCCACTTGCAGATCCTTCAGAAAGAGGGTTTCAAAACTGCTCTATCAAGAGAAATGTTCAACTCTGTGAGTTGAATGCAGACATCACAAAGTCGTTTCTGAGATGGGTTCTGTCTAGGTTTTATGGGAAGATATTTCCTTTTCTACCATACGCTTCAAGGCGTTCCAAATATCCGCTTGGAAATACTACAAAAACAGTGTTTCAAAACTGCTCTATCAAAAGGAAGGATCCACACTGTGAGTTGAATTCACACATCACAAAGAAGTCTCTGAGAATTCTTCTGTCTGGGTTTATAGGAAGAAATCCCGTTTCCAACGAAGGCCTCAAAGAGGTCCAAACATCCACTTGCAGATTCTACAGAAACAATGTTTCCAAACTGCTCGGTCAAGAGGAATGTTGCACTCGGTGAGTTGAATGCACACATCACAAAGTAGTTTCTGAGATTGCTTCTGTCTACCTTTTATGGAAAGATATTCCCTTTTCTACCATAGGCCTGAAAGCGCTCTCAATGTACCCTTGCAAATTCTACAAAAAGAGTGTTTCCAAATTGCTCTATCAAGAGAAATCTTTATCTCGGTGAGTTGAAAGCACACATCACAAAGAAGACTCTGAGAATTCTTCTGTCTGGGTTTATAAGATGAAAACCCGTTTCCAACGAAGGCCTCAAGGAGGTCCAAATACAAACAAGCTGATTCTACAGAAAGAGTGTTTCCAAACTGCTCTATCAAGAGGAATGTTCCACTCGGTGAGTTGAATGCAGACATCACAAAGGAGTTTCTGAGATTGCTTCTGTCTAGCTTTTATGGAAAGATATTTCCTTTTCTACCATAGGCCTCAAAGCGCTCTTAGTATACACTTCCAAATTCTACAAAGAGAGTGTTACTAAACCGCTCTCTCAAAGGAAATGTTAAACTCTGTGAGTTGAACACAGACATCACAAAGCAGTTTCTGAGAACACTTCTGTCTGCCTTTTATGTGAAGACATTCCCTTTTCCAAAGAATGCCTCCAAGGGCTCAAAATATCCACTTGTAGACTTTACAAAGAGAGTGTTTCAAAACTTCTCTACCAAAAGAAAGGTTAAAGACGGTGAGTTCAACGCACACATCACAAAGTTGTTTCTGAGAATGATTCTATCTATGTTTTCCATGAAGATGTTTCCTTTTCTATCATAGGCTTCAAAGTGGTCTAAATATCCACTTGGAAATCCTACAAGAACAGGGTTTCAAAACTTCTCTATCAAACGGAAGACTCCACTCTGTGAGATGAACGCACACATCACAATGAGGTTTCTGAAAATTCTTCTGTCTAGGGTTATAGGAAGAAATCCCGTTTCCAACGAAGGCCTCAAAGAGGTCCAAATATCCACTTGCAGTTTCTACAAAAAGAGTGTTTCAACACTGCTCTATAAAGAGGAAAGTTCCACTCTGTGAGTTGAATGTACACATCACAAAGTAGTTTCTGAGATTGCTTCTGTCTAGGTTTTAGGTGAAGTTATTTCCTTTTCTACTGTGGGCTTCAATGCGCTCTAAATATACACATGCAAATACTACAAAAAGAGTGTTTCAAAACTGCTCTATCAAAAGAAAAGTTTTACTCTGTGAGTTGAACGCACACATCGCAAAGCAGATTCTGAGAATTATTCTGTCTAGTTTTTATAGGAAGATGTTTCTTTTTCTGCCATAGGCTCAATGCGCTATAAATATCCCCTTGGAAATCCTACAAAAACAGTGTTTCAAAACTGCTCTGTGAAAAGGGAGGTTTCACTCTTTGAATTGAATGCACACATCACAAAGGAGTTTCTGAAAATTCTTCAATCTAGAGTTACATGAAGAAATCCCGTTTCCAAAGAAGGCCTCAAATAGGTCCAAATATCCACTTGCAGCTACTACAAGAAGGGTGTTTCAGAAACGCTCTATCAAAAGAAACGTTAAACTCTGTGAGTTGAACGCACACGTCACTAAGCACTTTCTGAGAACGATTCTATCTACTTTTTACATGAAGATGTTTCCTTTTCTAGCAGAGACTTCAAAGTGCTCTAAATATCCACTTGGGAATTCTACAAAAACGGTGTCTCAAAACTGCTCTACCAAAGGGAATGTTCCATTCTGTGAGTCGAATGCACACATCCGAAGAAGTTACTGAGAATTCTTCTCTGTAGGTTTAGATGAAGAAATCCCGTTTCCAACTAAGGCCTCTAGGAGGTCCAATTATCCACTTGCAGATTCTACAGAAAGAGTGTTTCAAAACTGCTCTATCAAGAGAAATGGTCCACCGTGTGTGTGGAATGCAGCCATCACACATTAGTTTCTGAGATTGCTTCTGTCTTGGTTTTATGGGGAGATATTTCCATTTCTAGCATAGGCTTCAAGGCGCTCTAAATATCCGCTTGGAAATAGTACAAAAACAGTGTTTCAAAACTGCTGTATCCAAAGGAAGGTGCCACTCGCTGAGTTGAATGCACACATCACAAGGAAGTTTCTGAGAATTCTTCTGTCTAGATTCATACGAAGAAATCCCGTTTCCAACGAAGGCCTCAAAGAAGTCCAAATATCCCATTGCAAATTCTACAAAAGGAGTGTTTCCCAACTGCTCTATCAAGAGGAATGTTGCACTCTGTGACTTGAATACAAACATCACATAGCAGTGTTTGAGAATTCTTCTGTCTAGAGTAACATGAAGAAATCCCGTTTCCAACGACGGCCTCAAGGCGGTCCAATTATCCACTTGCAGATTCTACAGAAAGAGTGTTTCAAAACTGCTCTATCAAGAGAAATGTTCCACCGTGTGTGTGGAATGCAGCCATCACACAGTAGTTTCTGAGATTGCTTCCGTCTAGGTTTTATGGGAAGATATTTCCTTTTCTACCATAGGCTTCAAGGCGCTCTAATATCCGCTTGGAAATACTACAACCACAGCGTTTCAAACTGCTCTATCCAAAGGAAGGTTCCACTCTGTGACTTGAATGCACACAACCAAAGAAGTTTCGGAGAATTCTTCTGTCTGGATTTATACGAAGAAATCCCGTTTCCAACGAAGACCCAAAGGAGTTCCAAATATCCACTTGCAGATCCTTCAGAAAGAGGGTTTCAAAACTGCTCTATCAAGAGAAATGTTCAACTCTGTGAGTTGAATGCAGACATCACAAAGTCGTTTCTGAGATGGGTTCTGTCTAGGTTTTATGGGAAGATATTTCCTTTTCTACCATACGCTTCAAGGCGTTCCAAATATCCGCTTGGAAATACTACAAAAACAGTGTTTCAAAACTGCTCTATCAAAAGGAAGGATCCACACTGTGAGTTGAATTCACACATCACAAAGAAGTCTCTGAGAATTCTTCTGTCTGGGTTTATAGGAAGAAATCCCGTTTCCAACGAAGGCCTCAAAGAGGTCCAAATATCCACTTGCAGATTCTACAGAAACAATGTTTCCAAACTGCTCTATCAAGAGGAATGTTGCACTCGGTGAGTTGAATGCACACATCACAAAGTAGTTTCTGAGATTGCTTCTGTCTACCTTTTATGGAAAGATATTCCCTTTTCTACCATAGGCCTGAAAGCGCTCTCAATGTACCCTTGCAAATTCTACAAAAAGAGTGTTTCCAAATTGCTCTATCAAGAGAAATCTTTATCTCGGTGAGTTGAAAGCACACATCACAAAGAAGACTCTGAGAATTCTTCTGTCTGGGTTTATAAGATGAAAACCCGTTTCCAACGAAGGCCTCAAGGAGGTCCAAATACAATCAAGCTGATTCTACAAAAAAAAGTGTTTCCAAACTGCTCTATCAAGAGGAATGTTCCACTCGGTGAGTTGAATGCAAACATCACAAAGGAGTTTCTGAGATTCCTTGTGTCTAGCTTTTATGGAAAGATATTTCCTTTTCTACCATAGGCCTCAAGGCGCTCTTAGTATACACTTCCAAATTCTACAAAGAGAGTGTTACTAAACTGCTCTATCAAAGGAAATGTTAAACTCTGTGAGTTGAACACAGACATCACAAAGCAGTTTCTGAGAACACTTCTGTCTGCCTTTTATGTGAAGACATTCCCTTTTCCAAAGAATGCCTCCAAGGGCTCAAAATATCCACTTGTAGACTTTACAAAGAGAGTGTTTCAAAACTTCTCTACCAAAAGAAAGGTTAAAGATGGTGAGTTCAATGCACACATCACAAAGTTGTTTCTGACAATGATTCTATCTATGTTTTCCATGAAGATGTTTCCTTTTCTATCATAGGCTTCAAAGTGGTCTAAATATCCACTTGGAAATCCTACAAGAACAGGGTTTCAAAACTTCTCTATCAAGCGGAAGACTCCACTCTGTGAGATGAACGCACACATCACAATGAGGTTTCTGAAAATTCTTCTGTCTAGGGTTATAGGAAGAAATCCCGTTTCCAACGAAGGCCTCAAAGAGGTCCAAATATCCACTTGCAGTTTCTACAAAAAGAGTGTTTCAACACTGCTCTATAAAGAGGAAAGTTCCACTCTGTGAGTTGAATGTACACATCACAAAGTAGTTTCTGAGATTGCTTCTGTCTAGGTTTTAGGTGAAGTTATTTCCTTTTCTACTGTGGGCTTCAATGCGCTCTAAATATACACATGCAAATACTACAAAAAGAGTGTTTCAAAACTGCTCTATCAAAAGAAAAGTTTTACTCTGTGGGTTGAACGCACACATCGCAAAGCAGATTCTGAGAATTATTCTGTCTAGTTTTTATAGGGAGATGTTTCTTTTTCTGCCGTAGGCTCAATGCGCTATAAATATCCCCTTGGAAATCCTACAACAACAGTGTTTCAAAACTGCTCTGTGAAAAGGGAGGTTTCACTCTTTGAATTGAATGCACACATCACAAAGGAGTTTCTGAGAATTCTTCAATCTAGAGTTACATGAAGAAATCCCGTTTCCAAAGAAGGCCTCAAATAGGTCCAAATATCCACTTGCAGCTACTACAAGAAGGGTGTTTCAGAAACGCTCTATCAAAAGAAACGTTAAACTCTGTGAGTTGAACGCACACGTCACTAAGCACTTTCTGAGAACGATTCTATCTACTTTTTACATGAAGATGTTTCCTTTTCTAGCAGAGACTTCAAAGTGCTCTAAATATCCACTTGGGAATTCTACAAAAACGGTGTCTCAAAACTGCTCTATCAAACGGAATGTTCCATTCTGTGAGTCGAATGCACACATCCGAAGAAGTTACTGAGAATTCTTCTCTGTAGGTTTAGATGAAGAAATCCCGTTTCCAACGAAGGCCTCTAGGAGGTCCAATTATCCACTTGCAGATTCTACAGAAAGAGTGTTTCAAAACTGCTCTATCAAGAGAAATGGTCCACCGTGTGTGTGGAATGCAGCCATCACACATTAGTTTCTGAGATTGCTTCTGTCTTGGTTTTATGGGGAGATATTTCCATTTCTAGCATAGGCTTCAAGGCGCTCTAAATATCCGCTTGGAAATACTACAAAAACAGTGTTTCAAAACTGCTGTATCCAAAGGAAGGTGCCACTCGCTGAGTTGAATGCACACATCACAAGGAAGTTTCTGAGAATTCTTCTGTCTAGATTCATACGAAGAAATCCCGTTTCCAACGAAGGCCTCAAAGAAGTCCAAATATCCCATTGCAAATTCTACAAAAGGAGTGTTTCCCAACTGCTCTATCAAGAGGAATGTTGCACTCTGTGACTTGCATGCAAACATCACACAGCAGTGTTTGAGAATTCTTCTGTCTAGAGTAACATGAAGAAATCCCGTTTCCAACGAAGGCCTCAAGGCGGTCCAATTATCCACTTGCAGATTCTACAGAAAGAGTGTTTCAAAACTGCTCTATCAAGAGAAATGTTCCACCGTGTGTGTGGAATGCAGCCATCACACAGTAGTTTCTGAGATTGCTTCCGTCTAGGTTTTATGGGAAGATATTTCCTTTTCTACCATAGGCTTCAAGGCTCTCTAATATCCGCTTGGAAATACTACAACCAGAGCGTTTCAAAATGCTCTATCCAAAGGAAGGTTCCACTCTGTGACTTGAATGCACACAACCAAAGAAGTTTCGGAGAATTCTTCTGTCTGGATTTATACGAAGAAATCCCGTTTCCAACGAAGACCCAAAGGAGTTCCAAATATCCACTTGCAGATCCTTCAGAAAGAGGGTTTCAAAACTGCTCTATCAAGAGAAATGTTCAACTCTGTGAGTTGAATGCAGACATCACAAAGTCGTTTCTGAGATGGGTTCTGTCTAGGTTTTATGGGAAGATATTTCCTTTTCTACCTTACGCTTCAAGGCGTTCCAAATATCCGCTTGGAAATACTACAAAAACAGTGTTTCAAAACTGCTCTATCAAAAGGAAGGATCCACACTGTGAGTTGAATTCACACATCACAAAGAAATCTCTGAGAATTCTTCTGTCTGGGTTTATAGGAAGAAATCCCGTTTCCAACGAAGGCCTCAAAGCCGGTCCATATATCCACTTGCAGATTCTACAGAAACAATGTTTCCAAACTGCTCTATCAAGAGGAATGTTGCACTCGGTGAGTTGAATGCACACATCACAAAGTAGTTTCTGAGATTGCTTCTGTCTACCTTTTATGGAAAGATATTCCCTTTTCTACCATAGGCCTGAAAGCGCTCTCAATGTACCCTTGCAAATTCTACAAAAAGAGTGTTTCCAAATTGCTCTATCAAGAGAAATCTTTATCTCGGTGAGTTGAAAGCACACATCACAAAGAAGACTCTGAGAATTCTTCTGTCTGGGTTTATAAGATGAAAACCCGTTTCCAACGAAGGCCTCAAGGAGGTCCAAATACAAACAAGCTGATTCTACAGAAAGAGTGTTTCCAAACTGCTCTATCAAGAGGAATGTTCCACTCGGTGAGTTGAATGCAGACATCACAAAGGAGTTTCTGAGATTGCTTCTGTCTAGCTTTTATGGAAAGATACTTCCTTTTCTACCATAGGCCTCAAAGCGCTCTTAGTATACACTTCCAAATTCTACAAAGAGAGTGTTACTAAACCGCTCTCTCAAAGGAAATGTTAAACTCTGTGAGTTGAACACAGACATCACAAAGCAGTTTCTGAGAACACTTCTGTCTGCCTTTTATGTGAAGACATTCCCTTTTCCAAAGAATGCCTCCAAGGGCTCAAAATATCCACTTGTAGACTTTACAAAGAGAGTGTTTCAAAACTTCTCTACCAAAAGAAAGGTTAAAGACGGTGAGTTCAACGCACACATCACAAAGTTGTTTCTGACAATGATTCTATCTATGTTTTCCATGAAGATGTTTCCTTTTCTAACATAGGCTTCAAAGTGGTCTAAATATCCACTTGGAAATCCTAGAAGAACAGGGTTTCAAAACTTCTTTATCAAACGGAAGACTCCACTCTGTGAGATGAACGCACATATCACAATGAGGTTTCTGAAAATTCTTCTGTCTAGGGTTATAGGAAGAAATCCCGTTTCCAACGAAGGCCTCAAAGAGGTCCAAATATCCACTTGCCGTTTCTGCAAAAAGAGTGTTTCAACACTGCTCTATAAAGAGGAAAGTTCCACTCTGTGAGTTGAATGTACACATCACAAAGTAGTTTCTGAGATTGCTTCTGTCTAGTTTTTATACGAAGTATGTTTCTTTTTCTGCCATAGGCTCAATGCGCTATAAATATCCCCTTGGAAATCCTACAAAAACAGTGTTTCAAAACTGCTCTATGAAAAGGGAGGTTTCACTCTTTGAATTGAATGCACACATCACAAAGGAGTTTCTGAAAATTCTTCTGTCTAGATTTATACGAAGAAATCCCGTTTCCAACGAAGGCCTCAAAGAAGTCCAAATATCCCATTGCAAATTCTACAAAAGGAGTGTTTCCCAACTGCTCTATCAAGAGGAATGTTGCACTCTGTGACTTGCATGCAAACATCACATAGTAGTGTTTGAGAATTCTTCTCTCTAGAGTAACATGAAGAAATCCCGTTTCCAACGAAGGCCTCAAGGCGGTCCAATTATCCACTTGCAGATTCTACAGAAAGAGTGTTTCAAAACTGCTCTATCAAGAGAAATGTTCCACCGTGTGTGTGGAATGCAGCCATCACACAGTAGTTTCTGAGATTGCTTCCGTCTAGGTTTTATGGGAAGATATTTCCTTTTCTACCATAGGCCTCAAGGCGCTCTAATATCCGCTTGGAAATACTACAACCACAGCGTTTCAAACTGCTCTATCCAAAGGAAGGTTCCACTCTGTGACTTGAATGCACACAACCAAAGAAGTTTCGGAGAATTCTTCTGTCTAGATTTATACGAAGAAATCCCGTTTCCAACGAAGACCCAAAGGAGTTCCAAATATCCACTTGCAGATCCTTCAGAAAGAGGGTTTCAAAACTGCTCTATCAAGAGAAATGTTCAACTCTGTGAGTTGAATGCAGACATCACAAAGTCGTTTCTGAGATTGGTTCTGTCTAGGTTTTATGGGAAGATATTTCCTTTTCTACCATACGCTTCAAGGCGTTCCAAATATCCGCTTGGAAATACTACAAAAACAGTGTTTCAAAACTGCTCTATCAAAAGGAAGGATCCACACTGTGAGTTGAATTCACACATCACAAAGAAGTCTCTGAGAATTCTTCTGTCTGGGTTTATAGGAAGAAATCCCGTTTCCAACGAAGGCCTCAAAGAGGTCCAAACATCCACTTGCAGATTCTACAGAAACAATGTTTCCAAACTGCTCGGTCAAGAGGAATGTTGCACTCGGTGAGTTGAATGCACACATCACAAAGTAGTTTCTGAGATTGCTTCTGTCTACCTTTTATGGAAAGATATTCCCTTTTCTACCATAGGCCTGAAAGCGCTCTCAATGTACCCTTGCAAATTCTACAAAAAGAGTGTTTCCAAATTGCTCTATCAAGAGAAATCTTTATCTCGGTGAGTTGAAAGCACACATCACAAAGAAGACTCTGAGAATTCTTCTGTCTCGGTTTATAAGATGAAAACCCGTTTCCAACGAAGGCCTCAAGGAGGTCCAAATACAAACAAGCTGATTCTACAGAAAGAGTGTTTCCAAACTGCTCTATCAAGAGGAATGTTCCACTCGGTGAGTTGAATGCAGACATCACAAAGGAGTTTCTGAGATTGCTTCTGTCTAGCTTTTATGGAAAGATATTTCCTTTTCTACCATAGGCCTCAAAGCGCTCTTAGTATACACTTCCAAATTCTACAAAGAGAGTGTTACTAAACCGCTCTCTCAAAGGAAATGTTAAACTCTGTGAGTTGAACACAGACATCACAAAGCAGTTTCTGAGAACACTTCTGTCTGCCTTTTATGTGAAGACATTCCCTTTTCCAAAGAATGCCTCCAAGGGCTCAAAATATCCACTTGTAGACTTTACAAAGAGAGTGTTTCAAAACTTCTCTACCAAAAGAAAGGTTAAAGACGGTGAGTTCAACGCACACATCACAAAGTTGTTTCTGAGAATGATTCTATCTATGTTTTCCATGAAGATGTTTCCTTTTCTATCATAGGCTTCAAAGTGGTCTAAATATCCACTTGGAAATCCTACAAGAACAGGGTTTCAAAACTTCTCTATCAAACGGAAGACTCCACTCTGTGAGATGAACAGCACACATCACAATGAGGTTTCTGAAAATTCTTCTGTCTAGGGTTATAGGAAGAAATCCCGTTTCCAACGAAGGCCTCAAAGAGGTCCAAATATCCACTTGCAGTTTCTACAAAAAGAGTGTTTCAACACTGCTCTATAAAGAGGAAAGTTCCACTCTGTGAGTTGAATGTACACATCACAAAATAGTTTCTGAGATTGCTTCTGTCTAGGTTTTAGGTGAAGTTATTTCCTTTTCTACTGTGGGCTTCAATGCGCTCTAAATATACACATGCAAATACTACAAAAAGAGTGTTTCAAAACTGCTCTATCAAAAGAAAAGTTTTACTCTGTGGGTTGAACGCACACATCGCAAAGCAGATTCTGAGAATTATTCTGTCTAGTTTTTATAGGAAGATGTTTCTTTTTCTGCCGTAGGCTCAATGCGCTATAAATATCCCCTTGGAAATCCTACAAAAACAGTGTTTCAAAACTGCTCTCTGGAAAGGGAGGTTTCACTCTTTGAATTGAATGCACACATCACAGAGGAGTTTCTGAAAATTCTTCAATCTAGAGTTACATGAAGAAATCCCGTTTCCAAAGAAGGCCTCAAATAGGTCCAAATATCCACTTGCAGCTACTACAAGAAGGGTGTTTCAGAAACGCTCTATCAAAAGAAACGTTAAACTCTGTGAGTTGAACGCACACGTCACTAAGCACTTTCTGAGAACGATTCTATCTACTTTTTACATGAAGATGTTTCCTTTTCTACCAGAGACTTCAAAGTGCTCTAAATATCCACTTGGGAATTCTACAAAAACGGTGTCTCAAAACTGCTCTACCAAAGGGAATGTTCCATTCTGTGAGTCGAATGCACACATCCGAAGAAGTTACTGAGAATTCTTCTCTGTAGGTTTAGATGAAGAAATCCCGTTTCCAACGAAGGCCTCTAGGAGGTCCAATTATCCACTTGCAGATTCTACAGAAAGAGTGTTTCAAAACTGCTCTATCAAGAGAAATGGTCCACCGTGTGTGTGGAATGCAGCCATCACACATTAGTTTCTGAGATTGCTTCTGTCTTGGTTTTATGGGGAGATATTTCCATTTCTAGCATAGGCTTCAAGGCGCTCTAAATATCCGCTTGGAAATACTACAAAAACAGTGTTTCAAAACTGCTGTATCCAAAGGAAGGTGCCACTCGCTGAGTTGAATGCACACATCACAAGGAAGTTTCTGAGAATTCTTCTGTCTAGATTCATACGAAGAAATCCCGTTTCCAACGAAGGCCTCAAAGAAGTCCAAATATCCCATTGCAAATTCTACAAAAGGAGTGTTTCCCAACTGCTCTATCAAGAGGAATGTTGCACTCTGTGACTTGCATGCAAACATCATATAGCAGTGTTTGAGAATTCTTCTGTCTAGAGTAACATGAAGAAATCCCGTTTCCAACGAAGGCCTCAAGGCGGTCCAATTACCCACTTGCAGATTCTACAGAAAGAGTGTTTCAAAACTGCTCTATCAAGAGAAATGTTCCACCGTGTGTGTGGAATGCAGCCATCACACAGTAGTTTCTGAGATTGCTTCCGTCTAGGTTTTATGTGAAGATATTTCCTTTTCTACCATAGGCCTCAAGGCGCTCTAATATCCGCTTGGAAATACTACAACCACAGCGTTTCAAACTGCTCTATCCAAAGGAAGGTTCCACTCTGTGACTTGAATGCACACAACCAAAGAAGTTTCGGAGAATTCTTCTGTCTGGATTTATACGAAGAAATCCCGTTTCCAACGAAGACCCAAAGGAGTTCCAAATATCCACTTGCAGATCCTTCAGAAAGAGGGTTTCAAAACTGCTCTATCAAGAGAAATGTTCAACTCTGTGAGTTGAATGCAGACATCACAAAGTCGTTTCTGAGATTGCTTCTGTCTAGGTTTTATGGGAAGATATTTCCTTTTCTACCATACGCTTCAAGGCGTTCCAAATATCCGCTTGGAAATACTACAAAAACGGTGTTTCAAAACTGCTCTATCAAAAGGAAGGATCCACACTGTGAGTTGAATTCACACATCACAAAGAAGTCTCTGAGAATTCTTCTGTCTGGGTTTATAGGAAGAAATCCCGTTTCCAACGAAGGCCTCAAAGCGGTCCATATATCCACTTGCAGATTCTACAGAAACAATGTTTCCAAACTGCTCTATCAAGAGGAATGTTGCACTCGGTGAGTTGAATGCACACATCACAAAGTAGTTTCTGAGATTGCTTCTGTCTACCTTTTATGGAAAGATATTCCCTTTTCTACCATAGGCCTGAAAGCGCTCTCAATGTACCCTTGCAAATTCTACAAAAAGAGTGTTTCCAAATTGCTGTATCAAGAGAAATCTTTATCTCGGTGAGTTGAAAGCACACATCACAAAGAAGACTCTGAGAATTCTTCTGTCTGGGTTTATAAGATGAAAACCCGTTTCCAACGAAGGCCTCAAGGAGGTCCAAATACAAACAAGCTGATTCTACAGAAAGAGTGTTTCCAAACTGCTCTATCAAGAGGAATGTTCCACTCGGTGAGTTGAATGCAGACATCACAAAGGAGTTTCTGAGATTGCTTCTGTCTAGCTTTTATGGAAAGATATTTCCTTTTCTACCATAGGCCTCAAAGCGCTCTTAGTATACACTTCCAAATTCTACAAAGAGAGTGTTACTAAACCGCTCTCTCAAAGGAAATGTTAAACTCTGTGAGTTGAACACAGACATCACAAAGCAGTTTCTGAGAACACTTCTGTCTGCCTTTTATGTGAAGACATTCCCTTTTCCAAAGAATGCCTCCAAGGGCTCAAAATATCCACTTGTAGACTTTACAAAGAGAGTGTTTCAAAACTTCTCTACCAAAAGAAAGGTTAAAGACGGTGAGTTCAACGCACACATCACAAAGTTGTTTCTGAGAATGATTCTATCTATGTTTTCCATGAAGATGTTTCCTTTTCTATCATAGGCTTCAAAGTGGTCTAAATATCCACTTGGAAATCCTACAAGAACAGGGTTTCAAAACTTCTCTATCAAACGGAAGACTCCACTCTGTGAGATGAACGCACACATCACAATGAGGTTTCTGAAAATTCTTCTGTCTAGGGTTATAGGAAGAAATCCCGTTTCCAACAAAGGCCTCAAAGAGGTCCAAATATCCACCTGCAGTTTCTACAAAAAGATTGTTTCAACACTGCTCTGTAAAGGGGAAAGTTCCACTCTGTGAGTTGAATGTACACATCACAAAGTAGTTTCTGAGATTGCTTCTGTCTAGGTTTTAGGTGAAGTTATTTCCTTTTCTACTGTGGGCTTCAATGCGCTCTAAATATACACATGCAAATACTACAAAAAGAGTGTTTCAAAACTGCTCTATCAAAAGAAAAGTTTTACTCTGTGGGTTGAACGCACACATCGCAAAGCAGATTCTGAGAATTATTCTGTCTAGTTTTTATAGGAAGATGTTTCTTTTTCTGCCATAGGCTCAATGCGCTATAAATATCCCCTTGGAAGTCCTACAAAAACAGTGTTTCAAAACTGCTCTGTGAAAAGGGAGGTTTCACTCTTTGAATTGAATGCACACATCACAAAGGAGTTTCTGAAAATTCTTCAATCTAGAGTTACATGAAGAAATCCCGTTTCCAAAGAAGGCCTCAAATAGGTCCAAATATCCACTTGCAGCTACTACAAGAAGGGTGTTTCAGAAACGCTCTATCAAAAGAAACGTTAAACTCTGTGAGTTGAACGCACACGTCACTAAGCACTTTCTGAGAACGATTCTATCTACTTTTTACATGAAGATGTTTCCTTTTCTAGCAGAGACTTCAAAGTGCTCTAAATATCCACTTGGGAATTCTACAAAAACGGTGTCTCAAAACTGCTCTATCAAAGGGAATGTTCCATTCTGTGAGTCGAATGCACACATCCGAAGAAGTTACTGAGAATTCTTCTCTGTAGGTTTAGATGAAGAAATCCCGTTTCCAACGAAGGCCTCTAGGAGGTCCAATTATCCACTTGCAGATTCTACAGAAAGAGTGTTTCAAAACTGCTCTATCAAGAGAAATGGTCCACCGTGTGTGTGGAATGCAGCCATCACACATTAGTTTCTGAGATTGCTTCTGTCTTGGTTTTATGGGGAGATATTTCCATTTCTAGCATAGGCTTCAAGGCGCTCTAAATATCCGCTTGGAAATACTACAAAAACAGTGTTTCAAAACTGCTGTATCCAAAGGAAGGTGCCACTCGCTGAGTTGAATGCACACATCACAAGGAAGTTTCTGAGAATTCTTCTGTCTAGATTCATACGAAGAAATCCCGTTTCCAACGAAGGCCTCAAAGAAGTCCAAATATCCCATTGCACATTCTACAAAAGGAGTGTTTCCCAACTGCTCTATCAAGAGGAATGTTGCACTCTGTGACTTGCATGCAAACATCACACAGCAGTGTTTGAGAATTCTTCTGTCTAGAGTAACATGAAGAAATCCCGTTTCCAACGAAGGCCTCAAGGCGGTCCAATTATCCACTTGCAGATTCTACAGAAAGAGTGTTTCAAAACTGCTCTATCAAGAGAAATGTTCCACCGTGTGTGTGGAATGCAGCCATCACACAGTAGTTTCTGAGATTGCTTCCGTCTAGGTTTTATGGGAAGATATTTCCTTTTCTACCATAGGCCTCAAGGCGCTCTAATATCCGCTTGGAAATACTACAACCACAGCGTTTCAAACTGCTCTATCCAAAGGAAGGTTCCACTCTGTGAGTTGAATGCACACAACCAAAGAAGTTTCGGAGAATTCTTCTGTCTAGATTTATACGAAGAAATCCCGTTTCCAACGAAGACCCAAAGGAGTTCCAAATATCCACTTGCAGATCCTTCAGAAAGAGGGTTTCAAAACTGCTCTATCAAGAGAAATGTTCAACTCTGTGAGTTGAATGCAGACATCGCAAAGTCGTTTCTGAGATTGGTTCTGTCTAGGTTTTATGGGAAGATATTTCCTTTTCTACCATACGCTTCAAGGCGTTCCAAATATCCGCTTGGAAATACTACAAAAACAGTGTTTCAAAACTGCTCTATCAAAAGGAAGGATCCACACTGTGAGTTGAATTCACACATCACAAAGAAGTCTCTGAGAATTCTTCTGTCTGGGTTTATAGGAAGAAATCCCGTTTCCAACGAAGGCCTCAAAGCGGTCCATATATCCACTTGCAGATTCTACAGAAACAATGTTTCCAAACTGCTCTATCAAGAGGAATGTTGCACTCGGGGAGTTGAATGCACACATCACAAAGTAGTTTCTGAGATTGCTTCTGTCTACCTTTTATGGAAAGATATTCCCTTTTCTACCATAGGCCTGAAAGCGCTCTCAATGTACCCTTGCAAATTCTACAAAAAGAGTGTTTCCAAATTGCTCTATCAAGAGAAATCTTTATCTCGGTGAGTTGAAAGCACACATCACAAAGAAGACTCTGAGAATTCTTCTGTCTGGGTTTATAAGATGAAAACCCGTTTCCAACGAAGGCCTCAAGGAGGTCCAAATACAAACAAGCTGATTCTACAGAAAGAGTGTTTCCAAACTGCTCTATCAAGAGGAATGTTCCACTCGGTGAGTTGAATGCAGACATCACAAAGGAGTTTCTGAGATTGCTTCTGTCTAGCTTTTATGGAAAGATATTTCCTTTTCTACCATAGGCCTCAAAGCGCTCTTAGTATACACTTCCAAATTCTACAAAGAGAGTGTTACTAAACCGCTCTCTCAAAGGAAATGTTAAACTCTGTGAGTTGAACACAGACATCACAAAGCAGTTTCTGAGAACACTTCTGTCTGCCTTTTATGTGAAGACATTCCCTTTTCCAAAGAATGCCTCCAAGGGCTCAAAATATCCACTTGTAGACTTTACAAAGAGAGTGTTTCAAAACTTCTCTACCAAAAGAGAGGTTAAAGACGGTGAGTTCAACGCACACATCACAAAGTTGTTTCTGAGAATGATTCTATCTATGTTTTCCATGAAGATGTTTCCTTTTCTATCATAGGCTTCAAAGTGGTCTAAATATCCACTTGGAAATCCTACAAGAACAGGGTTTCAAAACTTCTCTATCAAACGGAAGACTCCACTCTGTGAGATGAACGCACACATCACAATGAGGTTTCTGAAAATTCTTCTGTCTAGGGTTATAGGAAGAAATCCCGTTTCCAACGAAGGCCTCAAAGAGGTCCAAATATCCACTTGCAGTTTCTACAAAAAGAGTGTTTCAACACTGCTCTATAAAGAGGAAAGTTCCACTCTGTGAGGTTGAATGTACACATCACAAAGTAGTTTCTGAGATTGCTTCTGTCTAGGTTTTAGGTGAAGTTATTTCCTTTTCTACTGTGGGCTTCAATGCGCTCTAAATATACACATGCAAATACTACAAAAAGAGTGTTTCAAAACTGCTCTATCAAAAGAAAAGTTTTACTCTGTGGGTTGAACGCACACATCGCAAAGCAGATTCTGAGAATTATTCTGTCTAGTTTTTATAGGAAGATGTTTCTTTTTCTGCCGTAGGCTCAATGCGCTATAAATATCCCCTTGGAAATCCTACAAAAACAGTGTTTCAAAACTGCTCTGTGAAAAGGGAGGTTTCACTCTTTGAATTGAATGCACACATCACAAAGGAGTTTCTGGGAATTCTTCAATCTAGAGTTACATGAAGAAATCCCGTTTCCAAAGAAGGCCTCCAATAGGTCCAAATATCCACTTGCAGCTACTACAAGAAGGGTGTTTCAGAAACGCTCTATCAAAAGAAACGTTACACTCTGTGAGTTGAACGCACACGTCACTAAGCACTTTCTGAGAACGATTGTATCTACTTTTTACAGGAAGATGTTTCCTTTTCTAGCAGAGACTTCAAAGTGCTCTCAATATCCACTTGGGAATTCTACAAAAACGGTGTCTCAAAACTGCTCTATCAAAGGGAATGTTCCATTCTGTGAGTCGAATGCACACATCCGAAGAAGTTACTGAGAATTCTTCTCTGTAGGTTTAGATGAAGAAATCCCATTTCCAACGAAGGCTTCTAGGAGTTCCAATTATCCACTTGCAGATTCTACAGAAAGAGTGTTTCAAAACTGCTCTATCAAGAGAAATGGTCCACCGTGTGTGTGGAATGCAGCCATCACACATTAGTTTCTGAGATTGCTTCTGTCTTGGTTTTATGGGGAGATATTTCCATTTCTAGCATAGGCTTCAAGGCGCTCTAAATATCCGCTTGGAAATACTACAAAAACAGTGTTTCAAAACTGCTGTATCCAAAGGAAGGTGCCACTCGCTGAGTTGAATGCACACATCACAAGGAAGTTTCTGAGAATTCTTCTGTCTAGATTCATACGAAGAAATCCCGTTTCCAACGAAGGCCTCAAAGAAGTCCAAATATCCCATTGCAAATTCTACAAAAGGAGTGTTTCCCAACTGCTCTATCAAGAGGAATGTTGCACTCTGTGACTTGCATGCAAACATCACACAGCAGTGTTTGAGAATTCTTCTGTCTAGAGTAACATGAAGAAATCCCGTTTCCAACGAAGGCCTCAAGGCGGTCCAATTATCCACTTGCAGATTCTACAGAAAGAGTGTTTCAAAACTGCTCTATCAAGAGAAATGTTCCACCGTGTGTGTGGAATGCAGCCATCACACAGTAGTTTCTGAGATTGCTTCCGTCTAGGTTTTATGGGAAGATATTTCCTTTTCTACCGTAGGCTTCAAGGCGCTCTAATATCCGCTTGGAAATACTACAACCACAGCGTTTCAAACTGCTCTATCCAAAGGAAGGTTCCACTCTGTGACTTGAATGCACACAACCAAAGAAGTTTCGGAGAATTCTTCTGTCTGGATTTATACGAAGAAATCCCGTTTCCAACGAAGACCCAAAGGAGTTCCAAATATCCACTTGCAGATCCTTCAGAAAGAGGGTTTCAAAACTGCTCTATCAAGAGAAATGTTCAACTCTGTGAGTTGAATGCAGACATCACAAAGTCGTTTCTGAGATGGGTTCTGTCTAGGTTTTATGGGAAGATATTTCCTTTTCTACCATACGCTTCAAGGCGTTCCAAATATCCACTTGGAAATACTACAAAAACGGTGTTTCAAAACTGCTCTATCAAAAGGAAGGATCCACACTGTGAGTTGAATTCACACATCACAAAGAAATCTCTGAGAATTCTTCTGTCTGGGTTTATAGGAAGAAATCCCGTTTCCAACGAAGGCCTCAAAGCGGTCCATATATCCACTTGCAGATTCTACAGAAACAATGTTTCCAAACTGCTCTATCAAGAGGAATGTTGCACTCGGTGAGTTGAATGCACACATCACAAAGTAGTTTCTGAGATTGCTTCTGTCTACCTTTTATGGAAAGATATTCCCTTTTCTACCATAGGCCTGAAAGCGCTCTCAATGTACCCTTGCAAATTCTACAAAAAGAGTGTTTCCAAATTGCTCTATCAAGAGAAATCTTTATCTCGGTGAGTTGAAAGCACACATCACAAAGAAGACTCTGAGAATTCTTCTGTCTGGGTTTATAAGATGAAAACCCGTTTCCAACGAAGGCCTCAAGGAGGTCCAAATACAAACAAGCTGATTCTACAGAAAGAGTGTTTCCAAACTGCTCTATCAAGAGGAATGTTCCACTCGGTGAGTTGAATGCAGACATCACAAAGGAGTTTCTGAGATTGCTTCTGTCTAGCTTTTATGGAAAGATATTTCCTTTTCTACCATAGGCCTCAAAGCGCTCTTAGTATACACTTCCAAATTCTACAATGAGAGGGTTACTAAACCGCTCCATCACAGGAAATGTTAAACTCTGTGAGTTGAACACAGACATCACAAAGCAGTTTCTGAGAACACTTCTGTCTGCCTTTTATGTGAAGACATTCCCTTTTCCAAAGTAATGCCTCCAAGGGCTCAAAATATCCACTTGTAGACTTTACAAAGAGAGTGTTTCAAAACTTCTCTACCAAAAGAAAGGTTAAAGACGGTGAGTTCAACGCACACATCACAAAGTTGTTTCTGAGAATGATTCTATCTATGTTTTCCATGAAGATGTTTCCTTTTCTATCATAGGCTTCAAAGTGGTCTAAATATCCACTTGGAAATCCTACAAGAACAGGGTTTCAAAACTTCTCTATCAAACGGAAGACTCCACTCTGTGAGATGAACGCACACATCACAATGAGGTTTCTGAAAATTCTTCTGTCTAGGGTTATAGGAAGAAATCCCGTTTCCAACGAAGGCCTCAAAGAGGTCCAAATATCCACTTGCAGTTTCTACAAAAAGAGTGTTTCAACACTGCTCTATAAAGAGGAAAGTTCCACTCTGTGAGTTGAATGTACACATCACAAAGTAGTTTCTGAGATTGCTTCTGTCTAGGTTTTAGGTGAAGTTATTTCCTTTTCTACTGTGGGCTTCAATGCGCTCTAAATATACACATGCAAATACTACAAAAAGAGTGTTTCAAAACTGCTCTATCAAAAGAAAAGTTTTACTCTGTGAGTTGAACGCACACATCGCAAAGCAGATTCTGAGAATTATTCTGTCTAGTTTTTATAGGAAGATGTTTCTTTTTCTGCCATAGGATCAATGCGCTATAAATATCCCCTTGGAAATCCTACAAAAACAGTGTTTCAAAACTGCTCTGTGAAAAGGGAGGTTTCACTCTTTGAATTGAATGCACACATCACAAAGGAGTTTCTGAAAATTCTTCAATCTAGAGTTACATGAAGAAATCCCGTTTCCAAAGAAGGCCTCAAATAGGTCCAAATATCCACTTGCAGCTACTACAAGAAGGGTGTTTCAGAAACGCTCTATCAAAAGAAACGATAAACTCTGTGAGTTGAACACACACGTCACTAAGCACTTTCTGAGAACGATTCTATCTACTTTTTACATGAAGATGTTTCCTTTTCTAGCAGAGACTTCAAAGTGCTCTAAATATCCACTTGGGAATTCTACAAAAACGGTGTCTCAAAACTGCTCTATCAAAGGGAATGTTCCATTCTGTGAGTCGAATGCACACATCCGAAGAAGTTACTGAGAATTCTTCTCTGTAGGTTTAGATGAAGAAATCCCGTTTCCAACGAAGGCCTCTAGGAGGTCCAATTATCCACTTGCAGATTCTACAGAAAGAGTGTTTCAAAACTGCTCTATCAAGAGAAATGGTCCACCGTGTGTGTGGAATGCAGCCATCACACATTAGTTTCTGAGATTGCTTCTGTCTTGGTTTTATGGGGAGATATTTCCATTTCTAGCATAGGCTTCAAGGCGCTCTAAATATCCGCTTGGAAATACTACAAAAACAGTGTTTCAAAACTGCTGTATCCAAAGGAAGGTGCCACTCGCTGAGTTGAATGCACACATCACAAGGAAGTTTCTGAGAATTCTTCTGTCTAGATTCATACGAAGAAATCCCGTTTCCAACGAAGGCCTCAAAGAAGTCCAAATATCCCATTGCAAATTCTACAAAAGGAGTGTTTCCCAACTGCTCTATCAAGAGGAATGTTGCACTCTGTGACTTGCATGCAAACATCACATAGCAGTGTTTGAGAATTCTTCTGTCTAGAGTAACATGAAGAAATCCCGTTTCCAACGAAGGCCTCAAGGCGGTCCAATTATCCACTTGCAGATTCTACAGAAAGAGTGTTTCAAAACTGCTCTATCAAGAGAAATGTTCCACCGTGTGTGTGGAATGCAGCCATCACACAGTAGTTTCTGAGATTGCTTCCGTCTAGGTTTTATGGGAAGATATTTCCTTTTCTACCATAGGCCTCAAGGCGCTCTAATATCCGCTTGGAAATACTACAACCACAGCGTTTCAAACTGCTCTATCCAAAGGAAGGTTCCACTCTGTGAGTTGAATGCACACAACCAAAGAAGTTTCGGAGAATTCTTCTGTCTAGATTTATACGAAGAAATCCCGTTTCCAACGAAGACCCAAAGGAGTTCCAAATATCCACTTGCAGATCCTTCAGAAAGAGGGTTTCAAAACTGCTCTATCAAGAGAAATGTTCAACTCTGTGAGTTGAATGCAGACATCACAAAGTCGTTTCTGAGATTGGTTCTGTCTAGGTTTTATGGGAAGATATTTCCTTTTCTACCATACGCTTCAAGGCGTTCCAAATATCCGCTTGGAAATACTACAAAAACAGTGTTTCAAAACTGCTCTATCAAAAGGAAGGATCCACACTGTGAGTTGAATTCACACATCACAAAGAAGTCTCTGAGAATTCTTCTGTCTGGGTTTATAGGAAGAAATCCCGTTTCCAACGAAGGCCTCAAAGAGGTCCAAATATCCACTTGCAGATTCTACAGAAACAATGTTTCCAAACTGCTCGGTCAAGAGGAATGTTGCACTCGGTGAGTTGAATGCACACATCACAAAGTAGTTTCTGAGATTGCTTCTGTCTACCTTTTATGGAAAGATATTCCCTTTTCTACCATAGGCCTGAAAGCGCTCTCAATGTACCCTTGCAAATTCTACAAAAAGAGTGTTTCCAAATTGCTCTATCAAGAGAAATCTTTATCTCGGTGAGTTGAAAGCACACATCACAAAGAAGACTCTGAGAATTCTTCTGTCTGGGTTTATAAGATGAAAACCCGTTTCCAACGAAGGCCTCAAGGAGATCCAAATACAAACAAGCTGATTCTACAGAAAGAGTGTTTCCAAACTGCTCAATCAAGAGGAATGTTCCACTCGGTGAGTTGAATGCAGACATCACAAAGGAGTTTCTGAGATTGCTTCTGTCTAGCTTTTATGGAAAGATATTTCTTTTTCTACCATAGGCCTCAAAGCGCTCTTAGTATACACTTCCAAATTCTACAAAGAGAGTGTTACTAAACTGCTCTATCAAAGGAAATGTTAAACTCTGTGAGTTGAACACAGACATCACAAAGCAGTTTCTGAGAACACTTCTGTCTGCCTTTTATGTGAAGACATTCCCTTTTCCAAAGAATGCCTCCAAGGGCCCAAAATATCCACTTGTAGACTTTACAAAGAGAGTGTTTCAAAACTTCTCTACCTAAAGAAAGGTTAAAGACTGTGAGTTCAACGCACACATCACAAAGTTGTTTCTGAGAATGATTCTATCTATGTTTTCCATGAAGATGTTTCCTTTTCTATCATAGGCTTCAAAGTGGTCTAAATATCCACTTGGAAATCCTACAAGAACAGGGTTTCAAAACTTCTCTATCAAACGGAAGACTCCACTCTGTGAGATGAACGCACACATCACAATGAGGTTTCTGAAAATTCTTCTGTCTAGGGTTATAGGAAGAAATCCCGTTTCCAACGAAGGCCTCAAAGAGGTCCAAATATCCACTTGCAGTTTCTACAAAAAGAGTGTTTCAACACTGCTCTATAAAGAGAAAAGTTCCACTCTGTGAGTTGAATGTACACATCACAAAGTAGTTTCTGAGATTGCTTCTGTCTAGGTTTTAGGTGAAGTTATTTCCTTTTCTACTGTGGGCTTCAATGCGCTCTAAATATACACATGCAAATACTACAAAAAGAGTGTTTCAAAACTGCTCTATCAAAAGAAAAGTTTTACTCTGTGAGTTGAACGCACACATCGCAAAGCAGATTCTGAGAATTATTCTGTCTAGTTTTTATAGGAAGATGTTTCTTTTTCTGCCATAGGCTCAATGCGCTATAAATATCCCCTTGGAAATCCTACAAAAACAGTGTTTCAAAACTGCTCTGTGAAAAGGGAGGTTTCACTCTTTGAATTGAATGCACACATCACAAAGGAGTTTCTGAAAATTCTTCAATCTAGAGTTACATGAAGAAATCCCGTTTCCAAAGAAGGCCTCAAATAGGTCCAAATATCCACTTGCAGCTACTACAAGAAGGGTGTTTCAGAAACGCTCTATCAAAAGAAACGTTAAACTCTGTGAGTTGAACGCACACGTCACTAAGCACTTTCTGAGAACGATTCTATCTACTTTTTACATGAAGATGTTTCCTTTTCTACCAGAGACTTCAAAGTGCTCTAAATATCCACTTGGGAATTCTACAAAAACGGTGTCTCAAAACTGCTCTACCAAAGGGAATGTTCCATTCTGTGAGTCGAATGCACACATCCGAAGAAGTTACTGAGAATTCTTCTCTGTAGGTTTAGATGAAGAAATCCCGTTTCCAACGAAGGCCTCTAGGAGGTCCAATTATCCACTTGCAGATTCTACAGAAAGAGTGTTTCAAAACTGCTCTATCAAGAGAAATGGTCCACCGTGTGTGTGGAATGCAGCCATCACACATTAGTTTCTGAGATTGCTTCTGTCTTGGTTTTATGGGGAGATATTTCCATTTCTAGCATAGGCTTCAAGGCGCTCTAAATATCCGCTTGGAAATACTACAAAAACAGTGTTTCAAAACTGCTGTATCCAAAGGGAAGGTGCCACTCGCTGAGTTGAATGCACACATCACAAGGGAAGTTTCTGAGAATTCTTCTGTCTAGATTCATACGAAGAAATCCCGTTTCCAACGAAGGCCTCAAAGAAGTCCAAATATCCCATTGCAAATTCTACAAAAGGAGTGTTTCCCAACTGCTCTATCAAGAGGAATGTTGCACTCTGTGACTTGCATGCAAACATCACATAGCAGTGTTTGAGAATTCTTCTGTCTAGAGTAACATGAAGAAATCCCGTTTCCAACGAAGGCCTCAAGGCGGTCCAATTATCCACTTGCAGATTCTACAGAAAGAGTGTTTCAAAACTGCTCTATCAAGAGAAATGTTCCACCGTGTGTGTGGAATGCAGCCATCACACAGTAGTTTCTGAGATTGCTTCCGTCTAGGTTTTATGGGAAGATATTTCCTTTTCTACCATAGGCCTCAAGGCGCTCTAATATCCGCTTGGAAATACTACAACCACAGCGTTTCAAACTGCTCTATCCAAAGGAAGGTTCCACTCTGTGACTTGAATGCACACAACCAAAGAAGTTTCGGAGAATTCTTCTGTCTGGATTTATACGAAGAAATCCCGTTTCCAACGAAGACCCAAAGGAGTTCCAAATATCCACTTGCAGATCCTTCAGAAAGAGGGTTTCAAAACTGCTCTATCAAGAGAAATGTTCAACTCTGTGAGTTGAATGCAGACATCACAAAGTCGTTTCTGAGATGGGTTCTGTCTAGGTTTTATGGGAAGATATTTCCTTTTCTACTATACGCTTCAAGGCGTTCCAAATATCTGCTTGGAAATACTACAAAAACAGTGTTTCAAAACTGCTCTATCAAAAGGAAGGATCCACACTGTGAGTTGAATTCACACATCACAAAGAAATCTCTGAGAATTCTTCTGTCTGGGTTTATAGGAAGAAATCCCGTTTCCAACGAAGGCCTCAAAGAGGTCCAAATATCCACTTGCAGATTCTACAGAAACAATGTTTCCAAACTGCTCGGTCAAGAGGAATGTTGCACTCGGTGAGTTGAATGCACACATCACAAAGTAGTTTGCTGAGATTGCTTCTGTCTACCTTTTATGGAAAGATATTCCCTTTTCTACCATAGGCCTGAAAGCGCTCTCAATGTACCCTTGCAAATTCTACAAAAAGAGTGTTTCCAAATTGCTCTATCAAGAGAAATCTTTATCTCGGTGAGTTGAAAGCACACATCACAAAGAAGACTCTGAGAATTCTTCTGTCTGGGTTTATAAGATGAAAACCCGTTTCCAACGAAGGCCTCAAGGAGGTCCAAATACAAACAAGCTGATTCTACAGAAAGAGTGTTTCCAAACTGCTCTATCAAGAGGAATGTTCCACTCGGTGAGTTGAATGCAGACATCACAAAGGAGTTTCTGAGATTGCTTCTGTCTAGCTTTTATGGAAAGATATTTCCTTTTCTACCATAGGCCTCAAAGCGCTCTTAGTATACACTTCCAAATTCTACAAAGAGAGTGTTACTAAACCGCTCTCTCAAAGGAAATGTTAAACTCTGTGAGTTGAACACAGACATCACAAAGCAGTTTCTGAGAACACTTCTGTCTGCCTTTTATGTGAAGACATTCCCTTTTCCAAAGAATGCCTCCAAGGGCTCAAAATATCCACTTGTAGACTTTACAAAGAGAGTGTTTCAAAACTTCTCTACCAAAAGAAAGGTTAAAGACGGTGAGTTCAACGCACACATCACAAAGTTGTTTCTGAGAATGATTCTATCTATGTTTTCCATGAAGATGTTTCCTTTTCTATCATAGGCTTCAAAGTGGTCTAAATATCCACTTGGAAATCCTACAAGAACAGGGTTTCAAAACTTCTCTATCAAACGGAAGACTCCACTCTGTGAGATGAACGCACACATCACAATGAGGTTTCTGAAAATTCTTCTGTCTAGGGTTATAGGAAGAAATCCCGTTTCCAACGAAGGCCTCAAAGAGGTCCAAATATCCACTTGCAGTTTCTACCAAAAGAGTGTTTCAACACTGCTCTATAAAGAGGAAAGTTCCACTCTGTGAGTTGAATGTACACATCACAAAGTAGTTTCTGAGATTGCTTCTGTCTAGGTTTTAGGTGAAGTTATTTCCTTTTCTACTGTGTGCTTCAATGCGCTCTAAATATACACATGCAAATACTACAAAAAGAGTGTTTCAAAACTGCTCTATCCAAAGAAAAGTTTTACTCTGTGGGTTGAACACACACATCGCAAAGCAGATTCTGAGAATTATTCTGTCTAGTTTTTATAGGAAGATGTTTCTTTTTCTGCCGTAGGCTCAATGCGCTATAAATATCCCCTTGGAAATCCTACAAAAACAGTGTTTCAAAACTGCTCTGTGAAAAGGGAGGTTTCACTCTTTGAATTGAATGCACACATCACAAAGGAGTTTCTGAAAATTCTTCAAACTAGAGTTACATGAAGAAATCCCGTTTCCAAAGAAGGCCTCAAATAGGTCCAAATATCCACTTGCAGCTACTACAAGAAGGGTGTTTCAGAAACGCTCTATCAAAAGAAACGTTAAACTCTGTGAGTTGAACGCACACGTCACTAAGCACTTTCTGAGAACGATTCTATCTACTTTTTACATGAAGATGTTTCCTTTTCTAGCAGAGACTTCAAAGTGCTCTAAATATCCACTTGGGAATTCTACAAAAACGGTGTCTCAAAACTGCTCTATCAAACGGAATGTTCCATTCTGTGAGTCGAATGCACACATCCGAAGAAGTTACTGAGAATTCTTCTCTGTAGGTTTAGATGAAGAAATCCCGTTTCCAACGAAGGCCTCTAGGAGGTCCAATTATCCACTTGCAGATTCTACAGAAAGAGTGTTTCAAAACTGCTCTATCAAGAGAAATGGTCCACCGTGTGTGTGGAATGCAGCCATCACACATTAGTTTCTGAGATTGCTTCTGTCTTGGTTTTATGGGGAGATATTTCCATTTCTAGCATAGGCTTCAAGGCGCTCTAAATATCCGCTTGGAAATACTACAAAAACAGTGTTTCAAAACTGCTGTATCCAAAGGAAGGTGCCACTCGCTGAGTTGAATGCACACATCACAAGGAAGTTTCTGAGAATTCTTCTGTCTAGATTCATACGAAGAAATCCCGTTTCCAACGAAGGCCTCAAAGAAGTCCAAATATCCCATTGCAAATTCTACAAAAGGAGTGTTTCCCAACTGCTCTATCAAGAGGAATGTTGCACTCTGTGACTTGAATGCAAACATCACATAGCAGTGTTTGAGAATTCTTCTGTCTAGAGTAACATGAAGAAATCCCGTTTCCAACGAAGGCCTCAAGGCGGTCCAATTATCCACTTGCAGATTCTACAGAAAGAGTGTTTCAAAACTGCTCTATCAAGAGAAATGTTCCACCGTGTGTGTGGAATGCAGCCATCACACAGTAGTTTCTGAGATTGCTTCCGTCTAGGTTTTATGGGAAGATATTTCCTTTTCTACCATAGGCTTCAAGGCGCTCTAATATCCGCTTGGAAATACTACAACCACAGCGTTTCAAACTGCTCTATCCAAAGGAAGGTTCCACTCTGTGACTTGAATGCACACAACCAAAGAAGTTTCGGAGAATTCTTCTGTCTGGATTTATACGAAGAAATCCCGTTTCCAACGAAGACCCAAAGGAGTTCCAAATATCCACTTGCAGATCCTTCAGAAAGAGGGTTTCAAAACTGCTCTATCAAGAGAAATGTTCAACTCTGTGAGTTGAATGCAGACATCACAAAGTCGTTTCTGAGATGGGTTCTGTCTAGGTTTTATGGGAAGATATTTCCTTTTCTACCATACGCTTCAAGGCGTTCCAAATATCCGCTTGGAAATACTACAAAAACAGTGTTTCAAAACTGCTCTATCAAAAGGAAGGATCCACACTGTGAGTTGAATTCACACATCACAAAGAAGTCTCTGAGAATTCTTCTGTCTGGGTTTATAGGAAGAAATCCCGTTTCCAACGAAGGCCTCAAAGAAGGTCCATATATCCACTTGCAGATTCTACAGAAACAATGTTTCCAAACTGCTCGGTCAAGAGGAATGTTGCACTCGGTGAGTTGAATGCACACATCACAAAGTAGTTTCTGAGATTGCTTCTGTCTACCTTTTATGGAAAGATATTCCCTTTTCTACCATAGGCCTGAAAGCGCTCTCAATGTACCCTTGCAAATTCTACAAAAAGAGTGTTTCCAAATTGCTCTATCAAGAGAAATCTTTATCTCGGTGAGTTGAAAGCACACATCACAAAGAAGACTCTGAGAATTCTTCTGTCTGGGTTTATAAGATGAAAACCCGTTTCCAACGAAGGCCTCAAGGAGGTCCAAATACAAACAAGCTGATTCTACAGAAAGAGTGTTTCCAAACTGCTCTATCAAGAGGAATGTTCCACTCGGTGAGTTGAATGCAGACATCACAAAGGAGTTTCTGAGATTGCTTGTGTCTAGCTTTTATGGAAAGATATTTCCTTTTCTACCATAGGCCTCAAAGCGCTCTTAGTATACACTTCCAAATTCTACAAAGAGAGTGTTACTAAACCGCTCTCTCAAAGGAAATGTTAAACTCTGTGAGTTGAACACAGACATCACAAAGCAGTTTCTGAGAACACTTCTGTCTGCCTTTTATGTGAAGACATTCCCTTTTCCAAAGAATGCCTCCAAGGGCTCAAAATATCCACTTGTAGACTTTACAAAGAGAGTGTTTCAAAACTTCTCTACCAAAAGAAAAGTTAAAGACGGTGAGTTCAACGCACACATCACAAAGTTGTTTCTGAGAATGATTCTATCTATGTTTTCCATGAAGATGTTTCCTTTTCTATCATAGGCTTCAAAGTGGTCTAAATATCCACTTGGAAATCCTACAAGAACAGGGTTTCAAAACTTCTCTATCAAACGGAAGACTCCACTCTGTGAGATGAACGCACACATCACAATGAGGTTTCTGAAAATTCTTCCTGTCTAGGGTTATAGGAAGAAATCCCGTTTCCAACGAAGGCCTCAAAGAGGTCCAAATATCCACTTGCAGTTTCTACAAAAAGAGTGTTTCAACACTGCTCTATAAAGAGGAAAGTTCCACTCTGTGAGTTGAATGTACACATCACAAAGTAGTTTCTGAGATTGCTTCTGTCTAGGTTTTAGGTGAAGTTATTTCCTTTTCTACTGTGGGCTTCAATGCGCTCTAAATATACACATGCAAATACTACAAAAAGAGTGTTTCAAAACTGCTCTATCAAAAGAAAAGTTTTACTCTGTGAGTTGAACGCACACATCGCAAAGCAGATTCTGAGAATTATTCTGTCTAGTTTTTATAGGAAGATGTTTCTTTTTCTGCCATAGGATCAATGCGCTATAAATATCCCCTTGGAAGTCCTACAAAAACAGTGTTTCAAAACTGCTCTGTGAAAAGGGAGGTTTCACTCTTTGAATTGAATGCACACATCACAAAGGAGTTTCTGAAAATTCTTCAATCTAGAGTTACATGAAGAAATCCCGTTTCCAAAGAAGGCCTCAAATAGGTCCAAATATCCACTTGCAGCTACTACAAGAAGGGTGTTTCAGAAACGCTCTATCAAAAGAAACGTTAAACTCTGTGAGTTGAACACACACGTCACTAAGCACTTTCTGAGAACGATTCTATCTACTTTTTACATGAAGATGTTTCCTTTTCTAGCAGAGACTTCAAAGTGCTCTAAATATCCACTTGGGAATTCTACAAAAACGGTGTCTCAAAACTGCTCTATCAAACGGAATGTTCCATTCTGTGAGTCGAATGCACACATCCGAAGAAGTTACTGAGAATTCTTCTCTGTAGGTTTAGATGAAGAAATCCCATTTCCAACGAAGGCTTCTAGGAGTTCCAATTATCCACTTGCAGATTCTACAGAAAGAGTGTTTCAAAACTGCTCTATCAAGAGAAATGGTCCACCGTGTGTGTGGAATGCAGCCATCACACATTAGTTTCTGAGATTGCTTCTGTCTTGGTTTTATGGGGAGATATTTCCATTTCTAGCATAGGCTTCAAGGCGCTCTAAATATCCGCTTGGAAATACTACAAAAACAGTGTTTCAAAACTGCTGTATCCAAAGGAAGGTGCCACTCGCTGAGTTGAATGCACACATCACAAGGAAGTTTCTGAGAATTCTTCTGTCTAGATTCATACGAAGAAATCCCGTTTCCAACGAAGGCCTCAAAGAAGTCCAAATATCCCATTGCAAATTCTACAAAAGGAGTGTTTCCCAACTGCTCTATCAAGAGGAATGTTGCACTCTGTGACTTGAATGCAAACATCACATAGCAGTGTTTGAGAATTCTTCTGTCTAGAGTAACATGAAGAAATCCCGTTTCCAACGAAGGCCTCAAGGCGGTCCAATTATCCACTTGCAGATTCTACAGAAAGAGTGTTTCAAAACTGCTCTATCAAGAGAAATGTTCCACCGTGTGTGTGGAATGCAGCCATCACACAGTAGTTTCTGAGATTGCTTCCGTCTAGGTTTTATGGGAAGATATTTCCTTTTCTACCATAGGCTTCAAGGCGCTCTAATATCCGCTTGGAAATACTACAACCACAGCGTTTCAAACTGCTCTATCCAAAGGAAGGTTCCACTCTGTGACTTGAATGCACACAACCAAAGAAGTTTCGGAGAATTCTTCTGTCTGGATTTATACGAAGAAATCCCGTTTCCAACGAAGACCCAAAGGAGTTCCAAATATCCACTTGCAGATCCTTCAGAAAGAGGGTTTCAAAACTGCTCTATCAAGAGAAATGTTCAACTCTGTGAGTTGAATGCAGACATCACAAAGTCGTTTCTGAGATGGGTTCTGTCTAGGTTTTATGGGAAGATATTTCCTTTTCTACCATACGCTTCAAGGCGTTCCAAATATCCGCTTGGAAATACTACAAAAACAGTGTTTCAAAACTGCTCTATCAAAAGGAAGGATCCACACTGTGAGTTGAATTCACACATCACAAAGAAATCTCTGAGAATTCTTCTGTCTGGGTTTATAGGAAGAAATCCCGTTTCCAACGAAGGCCTCAAAGCGGTCCATATATCCACTTGCAGATTCTACAGAAACAATGTTTCCAAACTGCTCGGTCAAGAGGAATGTTGCACTCGGTGAGTTGAATGCACACATCACAAAGTAGTTTCTGAGATTGCTTCTGTCTACCTTTTATGGAAAGATATTCCCTTTTCTACCATAGGCCTGAAAGCGCTCTCAATGTACCCTTGCAAATTCTACAAAAAGAGTGTTTCCAAATTGCTCTATCAAGAGAAATCTTTATCTCGGTGAGTTGAAAGCACACATCACAAAGAAGACTCTGAGAATTCTTCTGTCTGGGTTTATAAGATGAAAACCCGTTTCCAACGAAGGCCTCAAGGAGGTCCAAATACAAACAAGCTGATTCTACAGAAAGAGTGTTTCCAAACTGCTCTATCAAGAGGAATGTTCCACTCGGTGAGTTGAATGCAGACATCACAAAGAGTTTCTGAGATTGCTTCTGTCTAGCTTTTATGGAAAGATATTTCCTTTTCTACCATAGGCCTCAAAGCGCTCTTAGTATACACTTCCAAATTCTACAAAGAGAGTGTTACTAAACCGCTCTCTCAAAGGAAATGTTAAACTCTGTGAGTTGAACACAGACATCACAAAGCAGTTTCTGAGAACACTTCTGTCTGCCTTTTATGTGAAGACATTCCCTTTTCCAAAGAATGCCTCCAAGGGCTCAAAATATCCACTTGTAGACTTTACAAAGAGAGTGTTTCAAAACTTCTCTACCAAAAGAAAGGTTAAAGACGGTGAGTTCAACGCACACATCACAAAGTTGTTTCTGAGAATGATTCTATCTATGTTTTCCATGAAGATGTTTCCTTTTCTATCATAGGCTTCAAAGTGGTCTAAATATCCACTTGGAAATCCTACAAGAACAGGGTTTCAAAACTTCTCTATCAAACGGAAGACTCCACTCTGTGAGATGAACGCACACATCACAATGAGGTTTCTGAAAATTCTTCTGTCTAGGGTTATAGGAAGAAATCCCGTTTCCAACGAAGGCCTCAAAGAGGTCCAAATATCCACTTGCAGTTTCTACAAAAAGAGTGTTTCAACACTGCTCTATAAAGAGGAAAGTTCCACTCTGTGAGTTGAATGTACACATCACAAAGTAGTTTCTGAGATTGCTTCTGTCTAGGTTTTAGGTGAAGTTATTTCCTTTTCTACTGTGGGCTTCAATGCGCTCTCAATATACACATGCAAATACTACAAAAAGAGTGTTTCAAAACTGCTCTATCAAAAGAAAAGTTTTACTCTGTGAGTTGAACGCACACATCGCAAAGCAGATTCTGAGAATTATTCTGTCTAGTTTTTATAGGAAGATGTTTCTTTTTCTGCCATAGGCTCAATGCGCTATAAATATCCCCTTGGAAATCCTACAAAAACAGTGTTTCAAAACTGCTCTGTGAAAAGGGAGGTTTCACTCTTTGAATTGAATGCACACATCACAAAGGAGTTTCTGAAAATTCTTCAATCTAGAGTTACATGAAGAAATCCCGTTTCCAAAGAAGGCCTCAAATAGGTCCAAATATCCACTTGCAGCTACTACAAGAAGGGTGTTTCAGAAACGCTCTATCAAAAGAAACGTTAAACTCTGTGAGTTGAACGCACACGTCACTAAGCACTTTCTGAGAACGATTCTATCTACTTTTTACATGAAGATGTTTCCTTTTCTAGCAGAGACTTCAAAGTGCTCTAAATATCCACTTGGGAATTCTACAAAAACGGTGTCTCAAAACTGCTCTACCAAAGGGAATGTTCCATTCTGTGAGTCGAATGCACACATCCGAAGAAGTTACTGAGAATTCTTCTCTGTAGGTTTAGATGAAGAAATCCCGTTTCCAACGAAGGCCTCTAGGAGGTCCAATTATCCACTTGCAGATTCTACAGAAAGAGTGTTTCAAAACTGCTCTATCAAGAGAAATGGTCCACCGTGTGTGTGGAATGCAGCCATCACACATTAGTTTCTGAGATTGCTTCTGTCTTGGTTTTATGGGGAGATATTTCCATTTCTAGCATAGGCTTCAAGGCGCTCTAAATATCCGCTTGGAAATACTACAAAAACAGTGTTTCAAAACTGCTGTATCCAAAGGAAGGTGCCACTCGCTGAGTTGAATGCACACATCACAAGGAAAGTTTCTGAGAATTCTTCTGTCTAGATTCATACGAAGAAATCCCGTTTCCAACGAAGGCCTCAAAGAAGTCCAAATATCCCATTGCAAATTCTACAAAAGGAGTGTTTCCCAACTGCTCTATCAAGAGGAATGTTGCACTCTGTGACTTGAATGCAAACATCACATAGCAGTGTTTGAGAATTCTTCTGTCTAGAGTAACATGAAGAAATCCCGTTTCCAACGAAGGCCTCAAGGCGGTCCAATTATCCACTTGCAGATTCTACAGAAAGAGTGTTTCAAAACTGCTCTATCAAGAGAAATGTTCCACCGTGTGTGTGGAATGCAGCCATCACACAGTAGTTTCTGAGATTGCTTCCGTCTAGGTTTTATGGGAAGATATTTCCTTTTCTACCATAGGCCTCAAGGCGCTCTAATATCCGCTTGGAAATACTACAACCACAGCGTTTCAAACTGCTCTATCCAAAGGAAGGTTCCACTCTGTGACTTGAATGCACACAACCAAAGAAGTTTCGGAGAATTCTTCTGTCTAGATTTATACGAAGAAATCCCGTTTCCAACGAAGACCCAAAGGAGTTCCAAATATCCACTTGCAGATCCTTCAGAAAGAGGGTTTCAAAACTGCTCTATCAAGAGAAATGTTCAACTCTGTGAGTTCAATGCAGACATCACAAAGTCGTTTCTGAGATTGGTTCTGTCTAGGTTTTATGGGAAGATATTTCCTTTTCTACCATACGCTTCAAGGCGTTCCAAATATCCGCTTGGAAATACTACAAAAACAGTGTTTCAAAACTGCTCTATCAAAAGGAAGGATCCACACTGTGAGTTGAATTCACACATCACAAAGAAGTCTCTGAGAATTCTTCTGTCTGGGTTTATAGGAAGAAATCCCGTTTCCAACGAAGGCCTCAAAGAGGTCCAAATATCCACTTGCAGATTCTACAGAAACAATGTTTCCAAACTGCTCGGTCAAGAGGAATGTTGCACTCGGTGAGTTGAATGCACACATCACAAAGTAGTTTCTGAGATTGCTTCTGTCTACCTTTTATGGAAAGATATTCCCTTTTCTACCATAGGCCTGAAAGCGCTCTCAATGTACCCTTGCAAATTCTACAAAAAGAGTGTTTCCAAATTGCTCTATCAAGAGAAATCTTTATCTCGGTGAGTTGAAAGCACACATCACAAAGAAGACTCTGAGAATTCTTCTGTCTGGGTTTATAAGATGAAAACCCGTTTCCAACGAAGGCCTCAAGGAGGTCCAAATACAAACAAGCTGATTCTACAGAAAGAGTGTTTCCAAACTGCTCTATCAAGGGAATGTTCCACTCGGTGAGTTGAATGCAGACATCACAAAGGAGTTTCTGAGATTGCTTCTGTCTAGCTTTTATGGAAAGATATTTCCTTTTCTACCATAGGCCTCAAAGCGCTCTTAGTATACACTTCCAAATTCTACAAAGAGAGTGTTACTAAACCGCTCTCTCAAAGGAAATGTTAAACTCTGTGAGTTGAACACAGACATCACAAAGCAGTTTCTGAGAACACTTCTGTCTGCCTTTTATGTGAAGACATTCCCTTTTCCAAAGAATGCCTCCAAGGGCTCAAAATATCCACTTGTAGACTTTACAAAGAGAGTGTTTCAAAACTTCTCTACCAAAAGAAAGGTTAAAGACGGTGAGTTCAACGCACACATCACAAAGTTGTTTCTGAGAATGATTCTATCTATGTTTTCCATGAAGATGTTTCCTTTTCTATCATAGGCTTCAAAGTGGTCTAAATATCCACTTGGAAATCCTACAAGAACAGGGTTTCAAAACTTCTCTATCAAACGGAAGACTCCACTCTGTGAGATGAACGCACACATCACAATGAGGTTTCTGAAAATTCTTCTGTCTAGGGTTATAGGAAGAAATCCCGTTTCCAACGAAGGCCTCAAAGAGGTCCAAATATCCACTTGCAGTTTCTACAAAAAGAGTGTTTCAACACTGCTCTATAAAGAGGAAAGTTCCACTCTGTGAGTTGAATGTACACATCACAAAGTAGTTTCTGAGATTGCTTCTGTCTAGGTTTTAGGTGAAGTTATTTCCTTTTCTACTGTGGGCTTCAATGCGCTCTAAATATACACATGCAAATACTACAAAAAGAGTGTTTCAAAACTGCTCTATCAAAAGAAAAGTTTTACTCTGTGGGTTGAACGCACACATCGCAAAGCAGATTCTGAGAATTATTCTGTCTAGTTTTTATAGGAAGATGTTTCTTTTTCTGCCATAGGATCAATGCGCTATAAATATCCCCTTGGAAGTCCTACAAAAACAGTGTTTCAAAACTGCTCTGTGAAAAGGGAGGTTTCACTCTTTGAATTGAATGCACACATCACAAAGGAGTTTCTGAAAATTCTTCAATCTAGAGTTACATGAAGAAATCCCGTTTCCAAAGAAGGCCTCAAATAGGTCCAAATATCCACTTGCAGCTACTACAAGAAGGGTGTTTCAGAAACGCTCTATCAAAAGAAACGTTAAACTCTGTGAGTTGAACGCACACGTCACTAAGCACTTTCTGAGAACGATTCTATCTACTTTTTACATGAAGATGTTTCCTTTTCTAGCAGAGACTTCAAAGTGCTCTAAATATCCACTTGGGAATTCTACAAAAACGGTGTCTCAAAACTGCTCTACCAAAGGGAATGTTCCATTCTGTGAGTCGAATGCACACATCCGAAGAAGTTACTGAGAATTCTTCTCTGTAGGTTTAGATGAAGAAATCCCATTTCCAACGAAGGCCTCTAGGAGGTCCAATTATCCACTTGCAGATTCTACAGAAAGAGTGTTTCAAAACTGCTCTATCAAGAGAAATGGTCCACCGTGTGTGTGGAATGCAGCCATCACACATTAGTTTCTGAGATTGCTTCTGTCTTGGTTTTATGGGGAGATATTTCCATTTCTAGCATAGGCTTCAAGGCGCTCTAAATATCCGCTTGGAAATACTACAAAAACAGTGTTTCAAAACTGCTGTATCCAAAGGAAGGTGCCACTCGCTGAGTTGAATGCACACATCACAAGGAAGTTTCTGAGAATTCTTCTGTCTAGATTCATACGAAGAAATCCCGTTTCCAACGAAGGCCTCAAAGAAGTCCAAATATCCCATTGCAAATTCTACAAAAGGAGTGTTTCCCAACTGCTCTATCAAGAGGAATGTTGCACTCTGTGACTTGAATGCAAACATCACATAGCAGTGTTTGAGAATTCTTCTGTCTAGAGTAACATGAAGAAATCCCGTTTCCAACGAAGGCCTCAAGGCGGTCCAATTATCCACTTGCAGATTCTACAGAAAGAGTGTTTCAAAACTGCTCTATCAAGAGAAATGTTCCACCGTGTGTGTGGAATGCAGCCATCACACAGTAGTTTCTGAGATTGCTTCCGTCTAGGTTTTATGGGAAGATATTTCCTTTTCTACCATAGGCTTCAAGGCGCTCTAATATCCGCTTGGAAATACTACAACCACAGCGTTTCAAACTGCTCTATCCAAAGGAAGGTACCACTCTGTGACTTGAATGCACACAACCAAAGAAGTTTCGGAGAATTCTTCTGTCTGGATTTATACGAAGAAATCCCGTTTCCAACGAAGACCCAAAGGAGTTCCAAATATCCACTTGCAGATCCTTCAGAAAGAGGGTTTCAAAACTGCTCTATCAAGAGAAATGTTCAACTCTGTGAGTTGAATGCAGACATCACAAAGTCGTTTCTGAGATGGGTTCTGTCTAGGTTTTATGGGAAGATATTTCCTTTTCTACCATACGCTTCAAGGCGTTCCAAATATCCGCTTGGAAATACTACAAAAACAGTGTTTCAAAACTGCTCTATCAAAAGGAAGGATCCACACTGTGAGTTGAATTCACACATCACAAAGAAGTCTCTGAGAATTCTTCTGTCTGGGTTTATAGGAAGAAATCCCGTTTCCAACGAAGGCCTCAAAGAGGTCCAAATATCCACTTGCAGATTCTACAGAAACAATGTTTCCAAACTGCTCAGTCAAGAGGAATGTTGCACTCGGTGAGTTGAATGCACACATCACAAAGTAGTTTCTGAGATTGCTTCTGTCTACCTTTTATGGAAAGATATTCCCTTTTCTACCATAGGCCTGAAAGCGCTCTCAATGTACCCTTGCAAATTCTACAAAAAGAGTGTTTCCAAATTGCTCTATCAAGAGAAATCTTTATCTCGGTGAGTTGAAAGCACACATCACAAAGAAGACTCTGAGAATTCTTCTGTCTGGGTTTATAAGATGAAAACCCGTTTCCAACGAAGGCCTCAAGGAGGTCCAAATACAAACAAGCTGATTCTACAGAAAGAGTGTTTCCAAACTGCTCTATCAAGAGGAATGTTCCACTCGGTGAGTTGAATGCAGACATCACAAAGGAGTTTCTGAGATTGCTTCTGTCTAGCTTTTATGGAAAGATATTTCCTTTTCTACCATAGGCCTCAAAGCGCTCTTAGTATACACTTCCAAATTCTACAAAGAGAGTGTTACTAAACCGCTCTCTCAAAGGAAATGTTAAACTCTGTGAGTTGAACACAGACATCACAAAGCAGTTTCTGAGAACACTTCTGTCTGCCTTTTATGTGAAGACATTCCCTTTTCCAAAGAATGCCTCCAAGGGCTCAAAATATCCACTTGTAGACTTTACAAAGAGAGTGTTTCAAAACTTCTCTACCAAAAGAAAGGTTAAAGACGGTGAGTTCAACGCACACATCACAAAGTTGTTTCTGAGAATGATTCTATCTATGTTTTCCATGAAGATGTTTCCTTTTCTATCATAGGCTTCAAAGTGGTCTAAATATCCACTTGGAAATCCTACAAGAACAGGGTTTCAAAACTTCTCTATCAAACGGAAGACTCCACTCTGTGAGATGAACGCACACATCACAATGAGGTTTCTGAAAATTCTTCTGTCTAGGGTTATAGGAAGAAATCCCGTTTCCAACGAAGGCCTGAAAGAGGTCCAAATATCCACTTGCAGTTTCTACAAAAAGAGTGTTTCAACACTGCTCTATAAAGAGGAAAGTTCCACTCTGTGAGTTGAATGTACACATCACAAAGTAGTTTCTGAGATTGCTTCTGTCTAGGTTTTAGGTGAAGTTATTTCCTTTTCTACTTTGGGCTTCAATGCGCTCTAAATATACACATGCAAATACTACAAAAAGAGTGTTTCAAAACTGCTCTATCAAAAGAAAAGTTTTACTCTGTGGGTTGAACGCACACATCGCAAAGCAGATTCTGAGAATTATTCTGTCTAGTTTTTATAGGAAGATGTTTCTTTTTCTGCCATAGGCTCAATGCGCTATAAATATCCCCTTGGAAGTCCTACAAAAACAGTGTTTCAAAACTGCTCTGTGAAAAGGGAGGTTTCACTCTTTGAATTGAATGCACACATCACAAAGGAGTTTCTGAAAATTCTTCAATCTAGAGTTACATGAAGAAATCCCGTTTCCAAAGAAGGCCTCAAATAGGTCCAAATATCCACTTGCAGCTACTACAAGAAGGGTGTTTCAGAAACGCTCTATCAAAAGAAACGTTAAACTCTGTGAGTTGAACGCACACGTCACTAAGCACTTTCTGAGAACGATTCTATCTACTTTTTACATGAAGATGTTTCCTTTTCTAGCAGAGACTTCAAAGTGCTCTAAATATCCACTTGGGAATTCTACAAAAACGGTGTCTCAAAACTGCTCTATCAAAGGGAATGTTCCATTCTGTGAGTCGAATGCACACATCCGAAGAAGTTACTGAGAATTCTTCTCTGTAGGTTTAGATGAAGAAATCCCGTTTCCAACGAAGGCCTCTAGGAGGTCCAATTATCCACTTGCAGATTCTACAGAAAGAGTGTTTCAAAACTGCTCTATCAAGAGAAATGGTCCACCGTGTGTGTGGAATGCAGCCATCACACATTAGTTTCTGAGATTGCTTCTGTCTTGGTTTTATGGGGAGATATTTCCATTTCTAGCATAGGCTTCAAGGCGCTCTAAATATCCGCTTGGAAATACTACAAAAACAGTGTTTCAAAACTGCTGTATCCAAAGGAAGGTGCCACTCGCTGAGTTGAATGCACACATCACAAGGAAGTTTCTGAGAATTCTTCTGTCTAGATTCATACGAAGAAATCCCGTTTCCAACGAAGGCCTCAAAGAAGTCCAAATATCCCATTGCAAATTCTACAAAAGGAGTGTTTCCCAACTGCTCTATCAAGAGGAATGTTGCACTCTGTGACTTGCATGCAAACATCACACAGCAGTGTTTGAGAATTCTTCTGTCTAGAGTAACATGAAGAAATCCCGTTTCCAACGAAGGCCTCAAGGCGGTCCAATTATCCACTTGCAGATTCTACAGAAAGAGTGTTTCAAAACTGCTCTATCAAGAGAAATGTTCCACCGTGTGTGTGGAATGCAGCCATCACACAGTAGTTTCTGAGATTGCTTCCGTCTAGGTTTTATGGGAAGATATTTCCTTTTCTACCATAGGCCTCAAGGCGCTCTAATATCCGCTTGGAAATACTACAACCACAGCGTTTCAAACTGCTCTATCCAAAGGAAGGTTCCACTCTGTGACTTGAATGCACACAACCAAAGAAGTTTCGGAGAATTCTTCTGTCTGGATTTATACGAAGAAATCCCGTTTCCAACGAAGACCCAAAGGAGTTCCAAATATCCACTTGCAGATCCTTCAGAAAGAGGGTTTCAAAACTGCTCTATCAAGAGAAATGTTCAACTCTGTGAGTTGAATGCAGACATCACAAAGTCGTTTCTGAGATGGGTTCTGTCTAGGTTTTATGGGAAGATATTTCCTTTTCTACCATACGCTTCAAGGCGTTCCAAATATCCGCTTGGAAATACTACAAAAACGGTGTTTCAAAACTGCTCTATCAAAAGGAAGTATCCACACTGTGAGTTGAATTCACACATCACAAAGAAATGCTGCTGAGAATTCTTCTGTCTGGGTTTATAGGAAGAAATCCCGTTTCCAACGAAGGCCTCAAAGGAGGTCCAAATATCCACTTGCAGTTTCTACAGAAACAATGTTTCCAAACTGCTCGGTCAAGAGGAATGTTGCACTCGGTGAGTTGAATGCACACATGACAAAGTAGTTTCTGAGATTGCTTCTGTCTACCTTTTATGGAAAGATATTCCCTTTTCTACCATAGGCCTGAAAGCGCTCTCAATGTACCCTTGCAAATTCTACAAAAAGAGTGTTTCCAAATTGCTCTATCAAGAGAAATCTTTATCTCGGTGAGTTGAAAGCACACATCACAAAGAAGACTCTGAGAATTCTTCTGTCTGGGTTTATAAGATGAAAACCCGTTTCCAACGAAGGCCTCAAGGAGGTCCAAATACAAACAAGCTGATTCTACAGAAAGAGTGTTTCCAAACTGCTCTATCAAGAGGAATGTTCCACTCGGTGAGTTGAATGCAGACATCACAAAGGAGTTTCTGAGATTGCTTCTGTCTAGCTTTTATGGAAAGATATTTCCTTTTCTACCATAGGCCTCAAAGCGCTCTTAGTATACACTTCCAAATTCTACAAAGAGAGTGTTACTAAACCGCTCTCTCAAAGGAAATGTTAAACTCTGTGAGTTGAACACAGACATCACAAAGCAGTTTCTGAGAACACTTCTGTCTGCCTTTTATGTGAAGACATTCCCTTTTCCAAAGAATGCCTCCAAGGGCTCAAAATATCCACTTGTAGACTTTACAAAGAGAGTGTTTCAAAACTTCTCTACCAAAAGAAAGGTTAAAGACGGTGAGTTCAACGCACACATCACAAAGTTGTTTCTGAGAATGATTCTATCTATGTTTTCCATGAAGATGTTTCCTTTTCTATCATAGGCTTCAAAGTGGTCTAAATATCCACTTGGAAATCCTACAAGAACAGGGTTTCAAAACTTCTCTATCAAACGGAAGACTCCACTCTGTGAGATGAACGCACACATCACAATGAGGTTTCTGAAAATTCTTCTGTCTAGGGTTATAGGAAGAAATCCCGTTTCCAACGAAGGCCTCAAAGAGGTCCAAATATCCACTTGCAGTTTCTACAAAAAGAGTGTTTCAACACTGCTCTATAAAGAGAAAAGTTCCACTCTGTGAGTTGAATGTACACATCACAAAGTAGTTTCTGAGATTGCTTCTGTCTAGGTTTTAGGTGAAGTTATTTCCTTTTCTACTGTGGGCTTCAATGCGCTCTAAATATACACATGCAAATACTACAAAAAGAGTGTTTCAAAACTGCTCTATCAAAAGAAAAGTTTTACTCTGTGAGTTGAACGCACACATCGCAAAGCAGATTCTGAGAATTATTCTGTCTAGTTTTTATAGGAAGATGTTTCTTTTTCTGCCATAGGCTCAATGCGCTATAAATATCCCCTTGGAAATCCTACAAAAACAGTGTTTCAAAACTGCTCTGTGAAAAGGGAGGTTTCACTCTTTGAATTGAATGCACACATCACAAAGGAGTTTCTGAAAATTCTTCAATCTAGAGTTACATGAAGAAATCCCGTTTCCAAAGAAGGCCTCAAATAGGTCCAAATATCCACTTGCAGCTACTACAAGAAGGGTGTTTCAGAAACGCTCTATCAAAAGAAACGTTAAACTCTGTGAGTTGAACGCACACGTCACTAAGCACTTTCTGAGAACGATTCTATCTACTTTTTACATGAAGATGTTTCCTTTTCTAGCAGAGACTTCAAAGTGCTCTAAATATCCACTTGGGAATTCTACAAAAACGGTGTCTCAAAACTGCTCTATCAAAGGGAATGTTCCATTCTGTGAGTCGAATGCACACATCCGAAGAAGTTACTGAGAATTCTTCTCTGTAGGTTTAGATGAAGAAATCCCGTTTCCAACGAAGGCCTCTAGGAGGTCCAATTATCCACTTGCAGATTCTACAGAAAGAGTGTTTCAAAACTGCTCTATCAAGAGAAATGGTCCACCGTGTGTGTGGAATGCAGCCATCACACATTAGTTTCTGAGATTGCTTCTGTCTTGGTTTTATGGGGAGATATTTCCATTTCTAGCATAGGCTTCAAGGCGCTCTAAATATCCGCTTGGAAATACTACAAAAACAGTGTTTCAAAACTGCTGTATCCAAAGGAAGGTGCCACTCGCTGAGTTGAATGCACACATCACAAGGAAGTTTCTGAGAATTCTTCTGTCTAGATTCATACGAAGAAATCCCGTTTCCAACGAAGGCCTCAAAGAAGTCCAAATATCCCATTGCAAATTCTACAAAAGGAGTGTTTCCCAACTACTCTATCAAGAGGAATGTTGCACTCTGTGACTTGAATGCAAACATCACATAGCAGTGTTTGAGAATTCTTCTGTCTAGAGTAACATGAAGAAATCCCGTTTCCAACGAAGGCCTCAAGGCGGTCCAATTATCCACTTGCAGATTCTACAGAAAGAGTGTTTCAAAACTGCTCTATCAAGAGAAATGTTCCACCGTGTGTGTGGAATGCAGCCATCACAAAGTAGTTTCTGAGATTGCTTCCGTCTAGGTTTTATGGGAAGATATTTCCTTTTCTACCATAGGCTTCAACGCGCTCTAATATCCGCTTGGAAATACTACAACCACAGCGTTTCAAACTGCTCTATCCAAAGGAAGGTTCCACTCTGTGACTTGAATGCACACAACCAAAGAAGTTTCGGAGAATTCTTCTGTCTAGATTTATACGAAGAAATCCCGTTTCCAACGAAGACCCAAAGGAGTTCCAAATATCCACTTGCAGATCCTTCAGAAAGAGGGTTTCAAAACTGCTCTATCAAGAGAAATGTTCAACTCTGTGAGTTGAATGCAGACATCACAAAGTCGTTTCTGAGATTGGTTCTGTCTAGGTTTTATGGGAAGATATTTCCTTTTCTACCATACGCTTCAAGGCGTTCCAAATATCCGCTTGGAAATACTACAAAAACGGTGTTTCAAAACTGCTCTATCAAAAGGAAGGATCCACACTGTGAGTTGAATTCACACATCACAAAGAAGTCTCTGAGAATTCTTCTGTCTGGGTTTATAGGAAGAAATCCCGTTTCCAACGAAGGCCTCAAAGAGGTCCAAATATCCACTTGCAGATTCTACAGAAACAATGTTTCCAAACTGCTCGGTCAAGAGGAATGTTGCACTCGGTGAGTTGAATGCACACATCACAAAGTAGTTTCTGAGATTGCTTCTGTCTACCTTTTATGGAAAGATATTCCCTTTTCTACCATAGGCCTGAAAGCGCTCTCAATGTACCCTTGCAAATTCTACAAAAAGAGTGTTTCCAAATTGCTCTATCAAGAGAAATCTTTATCTCGGTGAGTTGAAAGCACACATCACAAAGAAGACTCTGAGAATTCTTCTGTCTGGGTTTATAAGATGAAAACCCGTTTCCAACGAAGGCCTCAAGGAGGTCCAAATACAAACAAGCTGATTCTACAGAAAGAGTGTTTCCAAACTGCTCTATCAAGAGGAATGTTCCACTCGGTGAGTTGAATGCAGACATCACAAAGGAGTTTCTGAGATTGCTTCTGTCTAGCTTTTATGGAAAGATATTTCCTTTTCTACCATAGGCCTCAAAGCGCTCTTAGTATACACTTCCAAATTCTACAAAGAGAGTGTTACTAAACCGCTCTCTCAAAGGAAATGTTAAACTCTGTGAGTTGAACACAGACATCACAAAGCAGTTTCCTGAGAACACTTCTGTCTGCCTTTTATGTGAAGACATTCCCTTTTCCAAAGAATGCCTCCAAGGGCTCAAAATATCCACTTGTAGACTTTACAAAGAGAGTGTTTCAAAACTTCTCTACCAAAAGAAAGGTTAAAGACGGTGAGTTCAACGCACACATCACAAAGTTGTTTCTGAGAATGATTCTATCTATGTTTTCCATGAAGATGTTTCCTTTTCTATCATAGGCTTCAAAGTGGTCTAAATATCCACTTGGAAATCCTACAAGAACAGGGTTTCAAAACTTCTCTATCAAACGGAAGACTCCACTCTGTGAGATGAACGCACACATCACAATGAGGTTTCTGAAAATTCTTCTGTCTAGGGTTATAGGAAGAAATCCCGTTTCCAACGAAGGCCTCAAAGAGGTCCAAATATCCACTTGCAGTTTCTACAAAAAGAGTGTTTCAACACTGCTCTATAAAGAGGAAAGTTCCACTCTGTGAGTTGAATGTACACATCACAAAGTAGTTTCTGAGATTGCTTCTGTCTAGGTTTTAGGTGAAGTTATTTCCTTTTCTACTTTGGGCTTCAATGCGCTCTAAATATACACATGCAAATACTACAAAAAGAGTGTTTCAAAACTGCTCTATCAAAAGAAAAGTTTTACTCTGTGGGTTGAACGCACACATCGCAAAGCAGATTCTGAGAATTATTCTGTCTAGTTTTTATAGGAAGATGTTTCTTTTTCTGCCATAGGCTCAATGCGCTATAAATATCCCCTTGGAAATCCTACAAAAACAGTGTTTCAAAACTGCTCTGTGAAAAGGGAGGTTTCACTCTTTGAATTGAATGCACACATCACAAAGGAGTTTCTGAAAATTCTTCAATCTAGAGTTACATGAAGAAATCCCGTTTCCAAAGAAGGCCTCAAATAGGTCCAAATATCCACTTGCAGCTACTACAAGAAGGGTGTTTCAGAAACGCTCTATCAAAAGAAACGTTAAACTCTGTGAGTTGAACACACACGTCACTAAGCACTTTCTGAGAACGATTCTATCTACTTTTTACATGAAGATGTTTCCTTTTCTAGCAGAGACTTCAAAGTGCTCTAAATATCCACTTGGGAATTCTACAAAAACGGTGTCTCAAAACTGCTCTATCAAACGGAATGTTCCATTCTGTGAGTCGAATGCACACATCCGAAGAAGTTACTGAGAATTCTTCTCTGTAGGTTTAGATGAAGAAATCCCGTTTCCAACGAAGGCCTCTAGGAGGTCCAATTATCCACTTGCAGATTCTACAGAAAGAGTGTTTCAAAACTGCTCTATCAAGAGAAATGGTCCACCGTGTGTGTGGAATGCAGCCATCACACATTAGTTTCTGAGATTGCTTCTGTCTTGGTTTTATGGGGAGATATTTCCATTTCTAGCATAGGCTTCAAGGCGCTCTAAATATCCGCTTGGAAATACTACAAAAACAGTGTTTCAAAACTGCTGTATCCAAAGGAAGGTGCCACTCGCTGAGTTGAATGCACACATCACAAGGAAGTTTCTGAGAATTCTTCTGTCTAGATTCATACGAAGAAATCCCGTTTCCAACGAAGGCCTCAAAGAAGTCCAAATATCCCATTGCAAATTCTACAAAAGGAGTGTTTCCCAACTGCTCTATCAAGAGGAATGTTGCACTCTCTGACTTGCATGCAAACATCATATAGCAGTGTTTGAGAATTCTTCTGTCTAGAGTAACATGAAGAAATCCCGTTTCCAACGAAGGCCTCAAGGCCGTCCAATTATCCACTTGCAGATTCTACAGAAAGAGTGTTTCAAAACTGCTCTATGAAGAGAAATGTTCCACCGTGCGTGTGGAATGCAGTCATCACACAGTAGTTTCTGAGATTGCTTCCGTCTAGGTTTTATGGGAAGATATTTCCTTTTCTACCATAGGCTTCAAGGCGCTCTAATATCCGCTTGGAAATACTACAACCACAGCGTTTCAAACTGCTCTATCCAAAGGAAGGTTCCACTCTGTGACTTGAATGCACACAACCAAAGAAGTTTCGGAGAATTCTTCTGTCTGGATTTATACGAAGAAATCCCGTTTCCAACGAAGACCCAAAGGAGTTCCAAATATCCACTTGCAGATCCTTCAGAAAGAGGGTTTCAAAACTGCTCTATCAAGAGAAATGTTCAACTCTGTGAGTTGAATGCAGACATCACAAAGTCGTTTCTGAGATTGGTTCTGTCTAGGTTTTATGGGAAGATATTTCCTTTTCTACCATACGCTTCAAGGCGTTCCAAATATCCACTTGGAAATACTACAAAAACGGTGTTTCAAAACTGCTCTATCAAAAGGAAGGATCCACACTGTGAGTTGAATTCACACATCACAAAGAAATCTCTGAGAATTCTTCTGTCTGGGTTTATAGGAAGAAATCCCGTTTCCAACGAAGGCCTCAAAGCGGTCCATATATCCACTTGCAGATTCTACAGAAACAATGTTTCCAAACTGCTCTATCAAGAGGAATGTTGCACTCGGTGAGTTGAATGCACACATCACAAAGTAGTTTCTGAGATTGCTTCTGTCTACCTTTTATGGAAAGATATTCCCTTTTCTACCATAGGCCTGAAAGCGCTCTCAATGTACCCTTGCAAATTCTACAAAAAGATTGTTTCCAAATTGCTCTATCAAGAGAAATCTTTATCTCGGTGAGTTGAAAGCACACATCACAAAGAAGACTCTGAGAATTCTTCTGTCTGGGTTTATAAGATGAAAACCCGTTTCCAACGAAGGCCTCAAGGAGGTCCAAATACAAACAAGCTGATTCTACAGAAAGAGTGTTTCCAAACTGCTCTATCAAGAGGAATGTTCCACTCGGTGAGTTGAATGCAGACATCACAAAGGAGTTTCTGAGATTGCTTCTGTCTAGCTTTTATGGAAAGATATTTCCTTTTCTACCATAGGCCTCAAAGCGCTCTTAGTATACACTTCCAAATTCTACAAAGAGAGTGTTACTAAACCGCTCTCTCAAAGGAAATGTTAAACTCTGTGAGTTGAACACAGACATCACAAAGCAGTTTCTGAGAACACTTCTGTCTGCCTTTTATGTGAAGACATTCCCTTTTCCAAAGAATGCCTCCAAGGGCTCAAAATATCCACTTGTAGACTTTACAAAGAGAGTGTTTCAAAACTTCTCTACCAAAAGAAAGGTTAAAGACGGTGAGTTCAACGCACACATCACAAAGTTGTTTCTGAGAATGATTCTCTATCTATGTTTTCCATGAAGATGTTTCCTTTTCTATCATAGGCTTCAAAGTGGTCTAAATATCCACCTGGAAATCCTACAAGAACAGGGTTTCAAAGCTTCTCTATCAAACGGAAGACTCCACTCTGTGAGATGAACGCACACATCACAATGAGGTTTCTGAAAATTCTTCTGTCTAGGGTTATAGGAAGTAATCCCCTTTCCAACGAAGGCCTCAAAGAGGTCCAAATATCCACTTGCAGTTTCTACAAAAAGAGTGTTTCAACACTGCTCTATAAAGAGGAAAGTTCCACTCTGTGAGTTGAATGTACACATCACAAAGTAGTTTCTGAGATTGCTTCTGTCTAGGTTTTAGGTGAAGTTATTTCCTTTTCTACTGTGGGCTTCAATGCGCTCTAAATATACACATGCAAATACTACAAAAAGAGTGTTTCAAAACTGCTCTATCAAAAGAAAAGTTTTACTCTGTGGGTTGAACGCACACATCGCAAAGCAGATTCTGAGAATTATTCTGTCTAGTTTTTATAGGAAGATGTTTCTTTTTCTGCCATAGGATCAATGCGCTATAAATATCCCCTTGGAAATCCTACAAAAACAGTGTTTCAAAACTGCTCTGTGAAAAGGGAGGTTTCACTCTTTGAATTGAATGCACACATCACAAAGGAGTTTCTGAAAATTCTTCAATCTAGAGTTACATGAAGAAATCCCGTTTCCAAAGAAGGCCTCAAATAGGTCCAAATATCCACTTGCAGCTACTACAAGAAGGGTGTTTCAGAAACGCTCTATCAAAAGAAACGTTAAACTCTGTGAGTTGAAAACACACGTCACTAAGCACTTTCTGAGAACGATTCTATCTACTTTTTACATGAAGATGTTTCCTTTTCTAGCAGAGACTTCAAAGTGCTCTAAATATCCACTTGGGAATTCTACAAAAACGGTGTCTCAAAACTGCTCTATCAAACGGAATGTTCCATTCTGTGAGTCGAATGCACACATCCGAAGAAGTTACTGAGAATTCTTCTCTGTAGGTTTAGATGAAGAAATCCCGTTTCCAACGAAGGCCTCTAGGAGGTCCAATTATCCACTTGCAGATTCTACAGAAAGAGTGTTTCAAAACTGCTCTATCAAGAGAAATGGTCCACCGTGTGTGTGGAATGCAGCCATCACACATTAGTTTCTGAGATTGCTTCTGTCTTGGTTTTATGGGGAGATATTTCCATTTCTAGCATAGGCTTCAAGGCGCTCTAAATATCCGCTTGGAAATACTACAAAAACAGTGTTTCAAAACTGCTGTATCCAAAGGAAGGTGCCACTCGCTGAGTTGAATGCACACATCACAAGGAAGTTTCTGAGAATTCTTCTGTCTAGATTCATACGAAGAAATCCCGTTTCCAACGAAGGCCTCAAAGAAGTCCAAATATCCCATTGCAAATTCTACAAAAGGAGTGTTTCCCAACTGCTCTATCAAGAGGAATGTTGCACTCTGTGACTTGAATGCAAACATCACATAGCAGTGTTTGAGAATTCTTCTGTCTAGAGTAACATGAAGAAATCCCGTTTCCAACGAAGGCCTCAAGGCGGTCCAATTATCCACTTGCAGATTCTACAGAAAGAGTGTTTCAAAACTGCTCTATCAAGAGAAATGTTCCACCGTGTGTGTGGAATGCAGCCATCACACAGTAGTTTCTGAGATTGCTTCCGTCTAGGTTTTATGGGAAGATATTTCCTTTTCTACCATAGGCTTCAAGGCGCTCTAATATCCGCTTGGAAATACTACAACCACAGCGTTTCAAACTGCTCTATGCAAAGGAAGGTTCCACTCTGTGACTTGAATGCACACAACCAAAGAAGTTTCGGAGAATTCTTCTGTCTGGATTTATACGAAGAAATCCCGTTTCCAACGAAGACACAAAGGAGTTCCAAATATCCACTTGCAGATCCTTCAGAAAGAGGGTTTCAAAACTGCTCTATCAAGAGAAATGTTCAACTCTGTGAGTTGAATGCAGACATCACAAAGTCGTTTCTGAGATGGGTTCTGTCTAGGTTTTATGGGAAGATATTTCCTTTTCTACCATACGCTTCAAGGCGTTCCAAATATCCGCTTGGAAATACTACAAAAACAGTGTTTCAAAACTGCTCTATCAAAAGGAAGGATCCACACTGTGAGTTGAATTCACACATCACAAAGAAATCTCTGAGAATTCTTCTGTCTGGGTTTATAGGAAGAAATCCCGTTTCCAACGAAGGCCTCAAAGCGGTCCATATATCCACTTGCAGATTCTACAGAAACAATGTTTCCAAACTGCTCTATCAAGAGGAATGTTGCACTCGGGGAGTTGAATGCACACATCACAAAGTAGTTTCTGAGATTGCTTCTGTCTACCTTTTATGGAAAGATATTCCCTTTTCTACCATAGGCCTGAAAGCGCTCTCAATGTACCCTTGCAAATTCTACAAAAAGAGTGTTTCCAAATTGCTCTATCAAGAGAAATCTTTATCTCGGTGAGTTGAAAGCACGCATCACAAAGAAGACTCTGAGAATTCTTCTGTCTGGGTTTATAAGATGAAAACCCGTTTCCAACGAAGGCCTCAAGGAGGTCCAAATACAAACAAGCTGATTCTACAGAAAGAGTGTTTCCAAACTGCTCTATCAAGAGGAATGTTCCACTCGGTGAGTTGAATGCAGACATCACAAAGGAGTTTCTGAGATTGCTTCTGTCTAGCTTTTATGGAAAGATATTTCCTTTTCTACCATAGGCCTCAAAGCGCTCTTAGTATACACTTCCAAATTCTACAAAGAGAGTGTTACTAAACCGCTCTCTCAAAGGAAATGTTAAACTCTGTGAGTTCAACACAGACATCACAAAGCAGTTTCTGAGAACACTTCTGTCTGCCTTTTATGTGAAGACATTCCCTTTTCCAAAGAATGCCTCCAAGGGCTCAAAATATCCACTTGTAGACTTTACAAAGAGAGTGTTTCAAAACTTCTCTACCAAAAGAAAGGTTAAAGACGGTGAGTTCAACGCACACATCACAAAGTTGTTTCTGAGAATGATTCTATCTATGTTTTCCATGAAGATGTTTCCTTTTCTATCATAGGCTTCAAAGTGGTCTAAATATCCACTTGGAAATCCTATAAGAACAGGGTTTCAAAACTTCTCTATCAAACGGAAGACTCCACTCTGTGAGATGAACGCACACATCACAATGAGGTTTCTGAAAATTCTTCTGTCTAGGGTTATAGGAAGAAATCCCGTTTCCAACGAAGGCCTCAAAGAGGTCCAAATATCCACTTGCAGTTTCTACAAAAAGAGTGTTTCAACACTGCTCTATAAAGAGGAAAGTTCCACTCTGTGAGTTGAATGTACACATCACAAAGTAGTTTCTGAGATTGCTTCTGTCTAGGTTTTAGGTGAAGTTATTTCCTTTTCTACTGTGGGCTTCAATGCGCTCTAAATATACACATGCAAATACTACAAAAAGAGTGTTTCAAAACTGCTCTATCAAAAGAAAAGTTTTACTCTGTGAGTTGAACGCACACATCGCAAAGCAGATTCTGAGAATTATTCTGTCTAGTTTTTATAGGAAGATGTTTCTTTTTCTGCCATAGGATCAATGCGCTATAAATATCCCCTTGGAAATCCTACAAAAACAGTGTTTCAAAACTGCTCTGTGAAAAGGGAGGTTTCACTCTTTGAATTGAATGCACACATCACAAAGGAGTTTCTGAAAATTCTTCAAACTAGAGTTACATGAAGAAATCCCGTTTCCAAAGAAGGGATAGGTCCAAATATCCACTTGCAGCTACTACAAGAAGGGTGTTTCAGAAACGCTCTATCAAAAGAAACGTTAAACTCTGTGAGTTGAACACACACGTCACTAAGCACTTTCTGAGAACGATTCTATCTACTTTTTACATGAAGATGTTTCCTTTTCTAGCAGAGACTTCAAAGTGCTCTAAATATCCACTTGGGAATTCTACAAAAACGGTGTCTCAAAACTGCTCTATCAAAGGGAATGTTCCATTCTGTGAGTCGAATGCACACATCCGAAGAAGTTACTGAGAATTCTTCTCTGTAGGTTTAGATGAAGAAATCCCATTTCCAACGAAGGACTCTAGGAGGTCCAATTATCCACTTGCAGATTCTACAGAAAGAGTGTTTCAAAACTGCTCTATCAAGAGAAATGTTCCACCGTGTGTGTGGAATGCAGCCATCACACATTAGTTTCTGAGATTGCTTCTGTCTTGGTTTTATGGGGAGATATTTCCATTTCTAGCATAGGCTTCAAGGCGCTCTAAATATCCGCTTGGAAATACTACAAAAACAGTGTTTCAAAACTGCTGTATCCAAAGGAAGGTGCCACTCGCTGAGTTGAATGCACACATCACAAGGAAGTTTCTGAGAATTCTTCTGTCTAGATTCATACGAAGAAATCCCGTTTCCAACGAAGGCCTCAAAGAAGTCCAAATATCCCATTGCAAATTCTACAAAAGGAGTGTTTCCCAACTGCTCTATCAAGAGGAATGTTGCACTCTGTGACTTGAATGCAAACATCACATAGCAGTGTTTGAGAATTCTTCTGTCTAGAGTAACATGAAGAAATCCCGTTTCCAACGAAGGACTCAAGGCGGTCCAATTATCCACTTGCAGATTCTACAGAAAGAGTGTTTCAAAACTGCTCTATCAAGAGAAATATTCCACCGTGTGTGTGGAATGCAGCCATCACACAGTAGTTTCTGAGATTGCTTCCGTCTAGGTTTTATGGGAAGATATTTCCTTTTCTACCATAGGCTTCAAGGCGCTCTAATATCCGCTTGGAAATACTACAACCACAGCGTTTCAAACTGCTCTATCCAAAGGAAGGTTCCACTCTGTGACTTGAATGCACACAACCAAAGAAGTTTCGGAGAATTCTTCTGTCTGGATTTATACGAAGAAATCCCGTTTCCAACGAAGACCCAAAGGAGTTCCAAATATCCACTTGCAGATCCTTCAGAAAGAGGGTTTCAAAACTGCTCTATCAAGAGAAATGTTCAACTCTGTGAGTTGAATGCAGACATCACAAAGTCGTTTCTGAGATGGGTTCTGTCTAGGTTTTATGGGAAGATATTTCCTTTTCTACCATACGCTTCAAGGCGTTCCAAATATCCGCTTGGAAATACTACAAAAACAGTGTTTCAAAACTGCTCTATCAAAAGGAAGGATCCACACTGTGAGTTGAATTCACACATCACAAAGAAATCTCTGAGAATTCTTCTGTCTGGGTTTATAGGAAGAAATCCCGTTTCCAACGAAGGCCTCAAAGAGGTCCATATATCCACTTGCAGATTCTACAGAAACAATGTTTCCAAACTGCTCGGTCAAGAGGAATGTTGCACTCGGTGAGTTGAATGCACACATCACAAAGTAGTTTCTGAGATTGCTTCTGTCTACCTTTTATGGAAAGATATTCCCTTTTCTACCATAGGCCTGAAAGCGCTCTCAATGTACCCTTGCAAATTCTACAAAAAGAGTGTTTCCAAATTGCTCTATCAAGAGAAATCTTTATCTCGGTGAGTTGAAAGCACACATCACAAAGAAGACTCTGAGAATTCTTCTGTCTGGGTTTATAAGATGAAAACCCGTTTCCAACGAAGGCCTCAAGGAGGTCCAAATACAAACAAGCTGATTCTACAGAAAGAGTGTTTCCAAACTGCTCTATCAAGAGGAATGTTCCACTCGGTGAGTTGAATGCAGACATCACAAAGGAGTTTCTGAGATTGCTTCTGTCTAGCTTTTATGGAAAGATATTTCCTTTTCTACCATAGGCCTCAAAGCGCTCTTAGTATACACTTCCAAATTCTACAAAGAGAGTGTTACTAAACCGCTCTCTCAAAGGAAATGTTAAACTCTGTGAGTTGAACACAGACATCACAAAGCAGTTTCTGAGAACACTTCTGTCTGCCTTTTATGTGAAGACATTCCCTTTTCCAAAGAATGCCTCCAAGGGCTCAAAATATCCACTTGTAGACTTTACAAAGAGAGTGTTTCAAAACTTCTCTACCAAAAGAAAGGTTAAAGACGGTGAGTTCAACGCACACATCACAAAGTTGTTTCTGAGAATGATTCTATCTATGTTTTCCATGAAGATGTTTCCTTTTCTATCATAGGCTTCAAAGTGGTCTAAATATCCACTTGGAAATCCTACAAGAACAGGGTTTCAAAACTTCTCTATCAAACGGAAGACTCCACTCTGTGAGATGAACGCACACATCACAATGAGGTTTCTGAAAATTCTTCTGTCTAGGGTTATAGGAAGAAATCCCGTTTCCAACGAAGGCCTCAAAGCTGGTCCAAATATCCACTTGCAGTTTCTACAAAAAGAGTGTTTCAACACTGCTCTATAAAGAGAAAAGTTCCACTCTGTGAGTTGAATGTACACATCACAAAGTAGTTTCTGAGATTGCTTCTGTCTAGGTTTTAGGTGAAGTTATTTCCTTTTCTACTTTGGGCTTCAATGCGCTCTAAATATACACATGCAAATACTACAAAAAGAGTGTTTCAAAACTGCTCTATCAAAAGAAAAGTTTTACTCTGTGGGTTGAACGCACACATCGCAAAGCAGATTCTGAGAATTATTCTGTCTAGTTTTTATAGGAAGATGTTTCTTTTTCTGCCATAAGATCAATGCGCTATAAATATCCCCTTGGAAATCCTACAAAAACAGTGTTTCAAAACTGCTCTGTGAAAAGGGACGTTTCACTCTTTGAATTGAATGCACACATCACAAAGGAGTTTCTGAAAATTCTTCAATCTAGAGTTACATGAAGAAATCCCGTTTCCAAAGAAGGCCTCAAATAGGTCCAAATATCCACTTGCAGCTACTACAAGAAGGGTGTTTCAGAAACGCTCTATCAAAAGAAACGTTAAACTCTGTGAGTTGAACACACACGTCACTAAGCACTTTCTGAGAACGATTCTATCTACTTTTTACATGAAGATGTTTCCTTTTCTAGCAGAGACTTCAAAGTGCTCTAAATATCCACTTGGGAATTCTACAAAAACGGTGTCTCAAAACTGCTCTATCAAAGGGAATGTTCCATTCTGTGAGTCGAATGCACACATCCGAAGAAGTTACTGAGAATTCTTCTCTGTAGGTTTAGATGAAGAAATCCCATTTCCAATGAAGGCCTCTAGGACGTCCAATTATCCACTTGCAGATTCTACAGAAAGAGTGTTTCAAAACTGCTCTATCAAGAGAAATGGTCCACCGTGTGTGTGGAATGCAGCCATCACACATTAGTTTCTGAGATTGCTTCTGTCTTGGTTTTATGGGGAGATATTTCCATTTCTAGCATAGGCTTCAAGGCGCTCTAAATATCCGCTTGGAAATACTACAAAAACAGTGTTTCAAAACTGCTGTATCCAAGGGAAGGTGCCACTCGCTGAGTTGAATGCACACATCACAAGGAAGTTTCTGAGAATTCTTCTGTCTAGTATTCATACGAAGAAATCCCGTTTCCAACGAAGGCCTCAAAGAAGTCCAAATATCCCATTGCAGATTCCACAAAAGGAGTGTTTCCCAACTGCTCTATCAAGAGGAATGTTGCACTCTGTGACTTGAATGCAAACATCACAAAGTAGTGTTTGAGAATTCTTCTGTCTAGAGTAACATGAAGAAATCCCGTTTCCAACGAAGGCCTCAAGGCGGTCCAATTATCCACTTGCAGATTCTACAGAAAGAGTGTTTCAAAACTGCTCTATCAAGAGAAATGTTCCACCGTGTGTGTGGAATGCAGCCATCACACAGTAGTTTCTGAGATTGCTTCCGTCTAGGTTTTATGGGAAGATATTTCCTTTTCTACCATAGGCTTCAAGGCGCTCTAATATCCGCTTGGAAATACTACAACCACAGCGTTTCAAACTGCTCTATCCAAAGGAAGGTTCCACTCTGTGACTTGAATGCACACAACCAAAGAAGTTTCGGAGAATTCTTCTGTCTGGATTTATACGAAGAAATCCCGTTTCCAACGAAGACCCAAAGGAGTTCCAAATATCCACTTGCAGATCCTTCAGAAAGAGGGTTTCAAAACTGCTCTATCAAGAGAAATGTTCAACTCTGTGAGTTGAATGCAGACATCACAAAGTCGTTTCTGAGATGGGTTCTGTCTAGGTTTTATGGGAAGATATTTCCTTTTCTACCATACGCTTCAAGGCGTTCCAAATATCCGCTTGGAAATACTACAAAAACAGTGTTTCAAAACTGCTCTATCAAAAGGAAGGATCCACACTGTGAGTTGAATTCACACATCACAAAGAAATCTCTGAGAATTCTTCTGTCTGGGTTTATAGGAAGAAATCCCGTTTCCAACGAAGGCCTCAAAGCGGTCCATATATCCACTTGCAGATTCTACAGAAACAATGTTTCCAAACTGCTCTATCAAGAGGAATGTTGCACTCGGTGAGTTGAATGCACACATCACAAAGTAGTTTCTGAGATTGCTTCTGTCTACCTTTTATTGAAAGATATTCCCTTTTCTACCATAGGCCTGAAAGCGCTCTCAATGTACCCTTGCAAATTCTACAAAAAGAGTGTTTCCAAATTGCTCTATCAAGAGAAATCTTTATCTCGGTGAGTTGAAAGCACACATCACAAAGAAGACTCTGAGAATTCTTCTGTCTGGGTTTATAAGATGAAAACCCGTTTCCAACGAAGGCCTCAAGGAGGTCCAAATACAAACAAGCTGATTCTACAGGAAGAGTGTTTCCAAACTGCTCTATCAAGAGGAATGTTCCACTCGGTGAGTTGAATGCAGACATCACAAAGGAGTTTCTGAGATTGCTTCTGTCTAGCTTTTATGGAAAGATAATTCCTTTTCTACCATAGGCCTCAAAGCGCTCTTAGTATACACTTCCAAATTCTACAAAGAGAGTGTTACTAAACCGCTCTCTCAAAGGAAATGTTAAACTCTGTGAGTTGAACACAGACATCACAAAGCAGTTTCTGAGAACACTTCTGTCTGCCTTTTATGTGAAGACATTCCCTTTTCCAAAGAATGCCTCCAAGGGCTCAAAATATCCACTTGTAGACTTTACAAAGAGAGTGTTTCAAAACTTCTCTACCAAAAGAAAGGTTAAAGACGGTGAGTTCAACGCACACATCACAAAGTTGTTTCTGAGAATGATTCTATCTATGTTTTCCATGAAGATGTTTCCTTTTCTATCATAGGCTTCAAAGTGGTCTAAATATCCACTTGGAAATCCTACAAGAACAGGGTTTCAAAGCTTCTCTATCAAACGGAAGACTCCACTCTGTGAGATGAACGCACACATCACAATGAGGTTTCTGAAAATTCTTCTGTCTAGGGTTATACGAAGAAATCCCGTTTCCAACGAAGGCCTCAAAGAGGTCCAAATATCCACTTGCAGTTTCTACAAAAAGAGTGTTTCAACACTGCTCTATAAAGAGGAAAGTTCCACTCTGTGAGTTGAATGTACACATCACAAAGTAGTTTCTGAGATTGCTTCTGTCTAGGTTTTAGGTGAAGTTATTTCCTTTTCTACTGTGGGCTTCAATGCGCTCTAAATATACACATGCAAATACTACAAAAAGAGTGTTTCAAAACTGCTCTATCAAAAGAAAAGTTTTACTCTGTGGGTTGAACGCACACATCGCAAAGCAGATTCTGAGAATTATTCTGTCTAGTTTTTATAGGAAGATGATTCTTTTTCTGCCGTAGGCTCAATTCGCTATAAATATCCCCTTGGAAATCCTACAAAAACAGTGTTTCAAAACTGCTCTGTGAAAAGGGAGGTTTCACTCTTTGAATTGAATGCACACATCACAAAGGAGTTTCTGAAAATTCTTCAAACTAGAGTTACATGAAGAAATCCCGTTTCCAAAGAAGGCCTCAAATAGGTCCAAATATCCACTTGCAGCTACTACAAGCAGGGTGTTTCAGAAACGCTCTATCAAAAGAAACGTTAAACTCTGTGAGTTGAACACACACGTCACTAAGCACTTTCTGAGAACGATTCTATCTACTTTTTACATGAAGATGTTTCCTTTTCTAGCAGAGACTTCAAAGTGCTCTAAATATCCACTTGGGAATTCTACAAAAACGGTGTCTCAAAACTGCTCTATCAAAGGGAATGTTCCATTCTGTGAGTCGAATGCACACATCCGAAGAAGTTACTGAGAATTCTTCTCTGTAGGTTTAGATGAAGAAATCCCGTTTCCAACGAAGGCCTCTAGGAGGTCCAATTATCCACTTGCAGATTCTACAGAAAGAGTGTTTCAAAACTGCTCTATCAAGAGAAATGGTCCACCGTGTGTGTGGAATGCAGCCATCACACATTAGTTTCTGAGATTGCTTCTGTCTTGGTTTTATGGGGAGATATTTCCATTTCTAGCATAGGCTTCAAGGCGCTCTAAATATCCGCTTGGAAATACTACAAAAACAGTGTTTCAAAACTGCTGTATCCAAAGGAAGGTGCCACTCGCTGAGTTGAATGCACACATCACAAGGAAGTTTCTGAGAATTCTTCTGTCTAGATTCATACGAAGAAATCCCGTTTCCAACGAAGGCCTCAAAGAAGTCCAAATATCCCATTGCAAATTCTACAAAAGGAGTGTTTCCCAACTGCTCTATCAAGAGGAATGTTGCACTCTGTGACTTGCATGCAAACATCACATAGCAGTGTTTGAGAATTCTTCTGTCTAGAGTAACATGAAGAAATCCCGTTTCCAACGAAGGCCTCAAGGCGGTCCAATTATCCACTTGCAGATTCTACAGAAAGAGTGTTTCAAAACTGCTCTATCAAGAGAAATGTTCCACCGTGTGTGTGGAATGCAGCCATCACACAGTAGTTTCTGAGATTGCTTCCGTCTAGGTTTTATGGGAAGATATTTCCTTTTCTACCATAGGCCTCAAGGCGCTCTAATATCCGCTTGGAAATACTACAACCACAGCGTTTCAAACTGCTCTATCCAAAGGAAGGTTCCACTCTGTGACTTGAATGCACACAACCAAAGAAGTTTCGGAGAATTCTTCTGTCTAGATTTATACGAAGAAATCCCGTTTCCAACGAAGACCCAAAGGAGTTCCAAATATCCACTTGCAGATCCTTCAGAAAGAGGGTTTCAAAACTGCTCTATCAAGAGAAATGTTCAACTCTGTGAGTTGAATGCAGACATCACAAAGTCGTTTCTGAGATTGGTTCTGTCTAGGTTTTATGGGAAGATATTTCCTTTTCTACCATACGCTTCAAGGCGTTCCAAATATCCGCTTGGAAATACTACAAAAACAGTGTTTCAAAACTGCTCTATCAAAAGGAAGGATCCACACTGTGAGTTGAATTCACACATCACAAAGAAGTCTCTGAGAATTCTTCTGTCTGGGTTTATAGGAAGAAATCCCGTTTCCAACGAAGGCCTCAAAGAGGTCCAAATATCCACTTGCAGATTCTACAGAAACAATGTTTCCAAACTGCTCGGTCAAGAGGAATGTTGCACTCGGTGAGTTGAATGCACACATCACAAAGTAGTTTCTGAGATTGCTTCTGTCTACCTTTTATGGAAAGATATTCCCTTTTCTACCATAGGCCTGAAAGCGCTCTCAATGTACCCTTGCAAATTCTACAAAAAGAGTGTTTCCAAATTGCTCTATCAAGAGAAATCTTTATCTCGGTGAGTTGAAAGCACACATCACAAAGAAGACTCTGAGAATTCTTCTGTCTGGGTTTATAAGATGAAAACCCGTTTCCAACGAAGGCCTCAAGGAGGTCCAAATACAAACAAGCTGATTCTACAGAAAGAGTGTTTCCAAACTGCTCTATCAAGAGGAATGTTCCACTCGGTGAGTTGAATGCAGACATCACAAAGGAGTTTCTGAGATTGCTTCTGTCTAGCTTTTATGGAAAGATATTTCCTTTTCTACCATAGGCCTCAAAGCGCTCTTAGTATACACTTCCAAATTCTACAAAGAGAGTGTTACTAAACCGCTCTCTCAAAGGAAATGTTAAACTCTGTGAGTTGAACACAGACATCACAAAGCAGTTTCTGAGAACACTTCTGTCTGCCTTTTATGTGAAGACATTCCCTTTTCCAAAGAATGCCTCCAAGGGCTCAAAATATCCACTTGTAGACTTTACAAAGAGAGTGTTTCAAAACTTCTCTACCAAAAGAAAGGTTAAAGACGGTGAGTTCAACGCACACATCACAAAGTTGTTTCTGAGAATGATTCTATCTATGTTTTCCATGAAGATGTTTCCTTTTCTATCATAGGCTTCAAAGTGGTCTAAATATCCACTTGGAAATCCTACAAGAACAGGGTTTCAAAACTTCTCTATCAAACGGAAGACTCCACTCTGTGAGATGAACGCACACATCACAATGAGGTTTCTGAAAATTCTCTGTCTAGGGTTATAGGAAGAAATCCCGTTTCCAACGAAGGCCTCAAAGAGGTCCAAATATCCACTTGCAGTTTCTACAAAAAGAGTGTTTCAACACTGCTCTATAAAGAGGAAAGTTCCACTCTGTGAGTTGAATGTACACATCACAAAGTAGTTCTGAGATGCTCTCTGTCTAGGTTTTAGTTGAAGTTATTTCCTTTTCTACTGTGGGCTTCAATGCGCTCTAAATATACACATGCAAATACTACAAAAAGAGTGTTTCAAAACTGCTCTATCAAAAGAAAATTTTACTCTGTGGGTTGAACGCGCACATCGCAAAGCAGATTCTGAGAATTATTCTGTCTAGTTTTTATAGGAAGATGTTTCTTTTTCTGCCATAGGCTCAATGCGCTATAAATATCCCCTTGGAAATCCTACAAAAACAGTGTTTCAAAACTGCTCTGTGAAAAGGGAGGTTTCACTCTTTGAATTGAATGCACACATCACAAAGGAGTTTCTGAAAATTCTTCAATCTAGAGTTACATGAAGAAATCCCGTTTCCAAAGAAGGCCTCAAATAGGTCCAAATATCCACTTGCAGCTACTACAAGAAGGGTGTTTTAGAAACGCTCTATCAAAAGAAACGTTAAACTCTGTGAGTTGAACGCACACGTCACTAAGCACTTTCTGAGAACGATTCTATCTACTTTTTACATGAGGATGTTTCCTTTTCTAGCAGAGACTTCAAAGTGCTCTAAATATCCACTTGGGAATTCTACAAAAACGGTGTCTCAAAACTGCTCTATCAAAGGGAATGTTCCATTCTGTGAGTCGAATGCACACATCCGAAGAAGTTACTGAGAATTCTTCTCTGTAGGTTTAGATGAAGAAATCCCGTTTCCAACGAAGGGCCTCTAGGAGGTCCAATTATCCACTTGCAGATTCTACAGAAAGAGTGTTTCAAAACTGCTCTATCAAGAGAAATGGTCCACCGTGTGTGTGGAATGCAGCCATCACACATTAGTTTCTGAGATTGTTTCTGTCTTGGTTTTATGGGGAGATATTTCCATTTCTAGCATAGGCTTCAAGGCGCTCTAAATATCCGCTTGGAAATAGTACAAAAACAGTGTTTCAAAACTGCTGTATCCAAAGGAAGGTGCCACTCACTGAGTTGAATGCACACATCACAAGGAAGTTTCTGAGAATTCTTCTGTCTAGATTCATACGAAGAAATCCCGTTTCCAACGAAGGCCTCAAAGAAGTCCAAATATCCCATTGCAAATTCTACAAAAGGAGTGTTTCCCAACTGCTCTATCAAGAGGAATGTTGCACTCTGTGACTTGAATGCAAACATCACACAGCAGTGTTTGAGAATTCTTCTGTCTAGAGTAACATGAAGAAATCCCGTTTCCAACGAAGGCCTCAAGGCGGTCCAATTATCCACTTGCAGATTCTACAGAAAGAGTGTTTCAAAACTGCTCTATCAAGAGAAATGTTCCACCGTGTGTGTGGAATGCAGCCATCACACAGTAGTTTCTGAGATTGCTTCCGTCTAGGTTTTATGGGAAGATATTTCCTTTTCTACCATAGGCCTCAAGGCGCTCTAATATCCGCTTGGAAATACTACAACCACAGCGTTTCAAACTGCTCTATCCAAAGGAAGGTTCCACTCTGTGACTTGAATGCACACAACCAAAGAAGTTTCGGAGAATTCTTCTGTCTGGATTTATACGAAGAAATCCCGTTTCCAACGAAGACCCAAAGGAGTTCCAAATATCCACTTGCAGATCCTTCAGAAAGAGGGTTTCAAAACTGCTCTATCAAGAGAAATGTTCAACTCTGTGAGTTGAATGCAGACATCACAAAGTCGTTTCTGAGATGGGTTCTGTCTAGGTTTTATGGGAAGATATTTCCTTTTCTACCATACGCTTCAAGGCGTTCCAAATATCCGCTTGGAAATACTACAAAAACGGTGTTTCAAAACTGCTCTATCAAAAGGAAGGATCCACACTGTGAGTTGAATTCACACATCACAAAGAAGTCTCTGAGAATTCTTCTGTCTGGGTTTATAGGAAGAAATCCCGTTTCCAACGAAGGCCTCAAAGAGGTCCAAATATCCACTTGCAGATTCTACAGAAACAATGTTTCCAAACTGCTCGGTCAAGAGGAATGTTGCACTCGGTGAGTTGAATGCACACATCACAAAGTAGTTTCTGAGATTGCTTCTGTCTACCTTTTATGGAAAGATATTCCCTTTTCTACCATAGGCCTGAAAGCGCTCTCAATGTACCCTTGCAAATTCTACAAAAAGAGTGTTTCCAAATTGCTCTATCAAGAGAAATCTTTATCTCGGTGAGTTGAAAGCACACATCACAAAGAAGACTCTGAGAATTCTTCTGTCTGGGTTTATAAGATGAAAACCCGTTTCCAACGAAGGCCTCAAGGAGGTCCAAATACAAACAAGCTGATTCTACAGAAAGAGTGTTTCCAAACTGCTCTATCAAGAGGAATGTTCCACTCGGTGAGTTGAATGCAGACATCACAAAGGAGTTTCTGAGATTGCTTCTGTCTAGCTTTTATGGAAAGATATTTCCTTTTCTACCATAGGCCTCAAAGCGCTCTTAGTATACACTTCCAAATTCTACAAAGAGAGTGTTACTAAACCGCTCTCTCAAAGGAAATGTTAAACTCTGTGAGTTGAACACAGACATCACAAAGCAGTTTCTGAGAACACTTCTGTCTGCCTTTTATGTGAAGACATTCCCTTTTCCAAAGAATGCCTCCAAGGGCTCAAAATATCCACTTGTAGACTTTACAAAGAGAGTGTTTCAAAACTTCTCTACCAAAAGAAAGGTTAAAGACGGTGAGTTCAACGCACACATCACAAAGTTGTTTCTGAGAATGATTCTATCTATGTTTTCCATGAACATGTTTCCTTTTCTATCATAGGCTTCAAAGTGGTCTAAATATCCACTTGGAAATCCTACAAGAACAGGGTTTCAAAACTTCTCTATCAAACGGAAGACTCCACTCTGTGAGATGAACGCACACATCACAATGAGGTTTCTGAAAATTCTTCTGTCTAGGGTTATAGGAAGAAATCCCGTTTCCAACGAAGGCCTCAAAGAGGTCCAAATATCCACTTGCAGTTTCTACAAAAAGAGTGTTTCAACACTGCTCTATAAAGAGGAAAGTTCCACTCTGTGAGTTGAATGTACACATCACAAAGTAGTTTCTGAGATTGCTTCTGTCTAGGTTTTAGGTGAAGTTATTTCCTTTTCTACTGTGGGCTTCAATGCGCTCTAAATATACACATGCAAATACTACAAAAAGAGTGTTTCAAAACTGCTCTATCAAAAGAAAAGTTTTACTCTGTGAGTTGAACGCACACATCGCAAAGCAGATTCTGAGAATTATTCTGTCTAGTTTTTATAGGAAGATGTTTCTTTTTCTGCCATAGGCTCAATGCGCTATAAATATCCCCTTGGAAATCCTACAAAAACAGTGTTTCAAAACTGCTCTGTGAAAAGGGAGGTTTCACTCTTTGAATTGAATGCACACATCACAAAGGAGTTTCTGAAAATTCTTCAATCTAGAGTTACATGAAGAAATCCCGTTTCCAAAGAAGGCCTCAAATAGGTCCAAATATCCACTTGCAGCTACTACAAGAAGGGTGTTTCAGAAACGCTCTATCAAAAGAAACGTTAAACTCTGTGAGTTGAACGCACACGTCACTAAGCACTTTCTGAGAACGATTCTATCTACTTTTTACATGAAGATGTTTCCTTTTCTAGCAGAGACTTCAAAGTGCTCTAAATATCCACTTGGGAATTCTACAAAAACGGTGTCTCAAAACTGCTCTACCAAAGGGAATGTTCCATTCTGTGAGTCGAATGCACACATCCGAAGAAGTTACTGAGAATTCTTCTCTGTAGGTTTAGATGAAGAAATCCCGTTTCCAACGAAGGCCTCTAGGAGGTCCAATTATCCACTTGCAGATTCTACAGAAAGAGTGTTTCAAAACTGCTCTATCAAGAGAAATGGTCCACCGTGTGTGTGGAATGCAGCCATCACACATTAGTTTCTGAGATTGCTTCTGTCTTGGTTTTATGGGGAGATATTTCCATTTCTAGCATAGGCTTCAAGGCGCTCTAAATATCCGCTTGGAAATAGTACAAAAACAGTGTTTCAAAACTGCTGTATCCAAAGGAAGTTGCCACTCGCTGAGTTGAATGCACACATCACAAGGAAGTTTCTGAGAATTCTTCTGTCTAGATTCATACGAAGAAATCCCGTTTCCAACGAAGGCCTCAAAGAAGTCCAAATATCCCATTGCAAATTCTACAAAAGGAGTGTTTCCCAACTGCTCTATCAAGAGGAATGTTGCAGTCTGTGACTTGAATGCAAACATCACATAGCAGTGTTTGAGAATTCTTCTGTCTAGAGTAACATGAAGAAATCCCGTTTCCAACGAAGGCCTCAAGGCGGTCCAATTATCCACTTGCAGATTCTACAGAAAGAGTGTTTCAAAACTGCTCTATCAAGAGAAATGTTCCACCGTGTGTGTGGAATGCAGCCATCACACAGTAGTTTCTGAGATTGCTTCCGTCTAGGTTTTATGGGAAGATATTTCCTTTTCTACCATAGGCTTCAAGGCGCTCTAATATCCGCTTGGAAATACTACAACCACAGCGTTTCAAACTGCTCTATCCAAAGGAAGGTTCCACTCTGTGACTTGAATGCACACAACCAAAGAAGTTTCGGAGAATTCTTCTGTCTGGATTTATACGAAGAAATCCCGTTTCCAACGAAGACCCAAAGGAGTTCCAAATATCCACTTGCAGCTCCTTCAGAAAGAGGGTTTCAAAACTGCTCTATCAAGAGAAATGTTCAACTCTGTGAGTTGAATGCAGACATCACAAAGTCGTTTCTGAGATGGGTTCTGTCTAGGTTTTATTGGAAGATATTTCCTTTTCTACCATACGCTTCAAGGCGTTCCAAATATCCGCTTGGAAATACTACAAAAACAGTGTTTCAAAACTGCTCTATCAAAAGGAAGGATCCACACTGTGAGTTGAATTCACACATCACAAAGAAATCTCTGAGAATTCTTCTGTCTGGGTTTATAGGAAGAAATCCCGTTTCCAACGAAGGCCTCAAAGCGGTCCATATATCCACTTGCAGATTCTACAGAAACAATGTTTCCAAACTGCTCTATCAAGAGGAATGTTGCACTCGGTGAGTTGAATGCACACATCACAAAGTAGTTTCTGAGATTGCTTCTGTCTACCTTTTCTACCATAGGCCTGAAAGCGCTCTCAATGTACCCTTGCAAATTCTACAAAAAGAGTGTTTCCAAATTGCTCTATCAAGAGAAATCTTTATCTCGGTGAGTTGAAAGCACACATCACAAAGAAGACTCTGAGAATTCTTCTGTCTGGGTTTATAAGATGAAAACCCGTTTCCAACGAAGGCCTCAAGGAGGTCCAAATACAAACAAGCTGATTCTACAGAAAGAGTGTTTCCAAACTGCTCTATCAAGAGGAATGTTCCACTCGGTGAGTTGAATGCAGACATCACAAAGGAGTTTCTGAGATTGCTTCTGTCTAGCTTTTATGGAAAGATATTTCCTTTTCTACCATAGGCCTCAAAGCGCTCTTAGTATACACTTCCAAATTCTACAAAGAGAGTGTTACTAAACCGCTCTCTCAAAGGAAATGTTAAACTCTGTGAGTTGAACACAGACATCACAAAGCAGTTTCTGAGAACACTTCTGTCTGCCTTTTATGTGAAGACATTCCCTTTTCCAAAGAATGCCTCCAAGGGCTCAAAATATCCACTTGTAGACTTTACAAAGAGAGTGTTTCAAAACTTCTCTACCAAAAGAAAGGTTAAAGACGGTGAGTTCAACGCACACATCACAAAGTTGTTTCTGAGAATGATTCTATCTATGTTTTCCATGAAGATGTTTCCTTTTCTATCATAGGCTTCAAAGTGGTCTAAATATCCACTTGGAAATCCTACAAGAACAGGGTTTCAAAACTTCTCTATCAAACGGAAGACTCCACTCTGTGAGATGAACGCACACATCACAATGAGGTTTCTGAAAATTCTTCTGTCTAGGGTTATAGGAAGAAATCCCGTTTCCAACGAAGGCCTCAAAGAGGTCCAAATATCCACTTGCAGTTTCTACAAAAAGAGTGTTTCAACACTGCTCTATAAAGAGGAAAGTTCCACTCTGTGAGTTGAATGTATACATCACAAAGTAGTTTCTGAGATTGCTTCTGTCTAGGTTTTAGGTGAAGTTATTTCCTTTTCTACTGTGGGCTTCAATGCGCTCTAAATATACACATGCAAATACTACAAAAAGAGTGTTTCAAAACTGCTCTATCAAAAGAAAAGTTTTACTCTGTGAGTTGAACGCACACATCGCAAAGCAGATTCTGAGAATTATTCTGTCTAGTTTTTATAGGAAGATGTTTCTTTTTCTGCCGTAGGCTCAATGCGCTATAAATATCCCCTTGGAAATCCTACAAAAACAGTGTTTCAAAACTGCTCTGTGAAAAGGGACGTTTCACTCTTTGAATTGAATGCACACATCACAAAGGAGTTTCTGAAAATTCTTCAAACTAGAGTTACATGAAGAAATCCCGTTTCCAAAGAAGGCCTCAAGTAGGTCCAAATATCCACTTGCAGCTACTACAAGAAGGGTGTTTCAGAAACGCTCTATCAAAAGAAACGTTAAACTCTGTGAGTTGAACACACACGTCACTAAGCACTTTCTGAGAACGATTCTATCTACTTTTTACATGAAGATGTTTCCTTTTCTAGCAGAGACTTCAAAGTGCTCTAAATATCCACTTGGGAATTCTACAAAAACGGTGTCTCAAAACTGCTCTATCAAAGGGAATGTTCCATTCTGTGAGTCGAATGCACACATCCGAAGAAGTTACTGAGAATTCTTCTCTGTAGGTTTAGGTGAAGAAATCCCGTTTCCAACGAAGGCCTCTAGGAGGTCCAATTATCCACTTGCAGATTCTACAGAAAGAGTGTTTCAAAACTGCTCTATCAAGAGAAATGGTCCACCGTGTGTGTGGAATGCAGCCATCACACATTAGTTTCTGAGATTGCTTCTGTCTTGGTTTTATGGGGAGATATTTCCATTTCTAGCATAGGCTTCAAGGCGCTCTAAATATCCGCTTGGAAATACTACAAAAACAGTGTTTCAAAACTGCTGTATCCAAAGGAAGGTGCCACTCGCTGAGTTGAATGCACACATCACAAGGAAGTTTCTGAGAATTCTTCTGTCTAGATTCATACGAAGAAATCCCGTTTCCAACGAAGGCCTCAAAGAAGTCCAAATATCCCATTGCAAATTCTACAAAAGGAGTGCTTCCCAACTGCTCTATCAAGAGGAATGTTGCACTCTGTGACTTGAATGCAAACATCACATAGCAGTGTTTGAGAATTCTTCTGTCTAGAGTAACATGAAGAAATCCCGTTTCCAACGAAGGCCTCAAGGCGGTCCAATTATCCACTTGCAGATTCTACAGAAAGAGTGTTTCAAAACTGCTCTATCAAGAGAAATGTTCCACCGTGTGTGTGGAATGCAGCCATCACACAGTAGTTTCTGAGATTGCTTCCGTCTAGGTTTTATGGGAAGATATTTCCTTTTCTACCATAGGCCTCAAGGCGCTCTAATATCCGCTTGGAAATACTACAACCACAGCGTTTCAAACTGCTCTATCCAAAGGAAGGTTCCACTCTGTGACTTGAATGCACACAACCAAAGAAGTTTCGGAGAATTCTTCTGTCTGGATTTATACGAAGAAATCCCGTTTCCAACGAAGACCCAAAGGAGTTCCAAATATCCACTTGCAGCTCCTTCAGAAAGAGGGTTTCAAAACTGCTCTATCAAGAGAAATGTTCAACTCTGTGAGTTGAATGCAGACATCACAAAGTCGTTTCTGAGATGGGTTCTGTCTAGGTTTTATGGGAAGATATTTCCTTTTCTACCATACGCTTCAAGGCGTTCCAAATATCCGCTTGGAAATACTACAAAAACGGTGTTTCAAAACTGCTCTATCAAAAGGAAGGATCCACACTGTGAGTTGAATTCACACATCACAAAGAAATCTCTGAGAATTCTTCTGTCTGGGTTTATAAGAAGAAATCCCGTTTCCAACGAAGGCCTCAAAGCGGTCCATATATCCACTTGCAGATTCTACAGAAACAATGTTTCCAAACTGCTCTATCAAGAGGAATGTTGCACTCGGTGAGTTGAATGCACACATCACAAAGTAGTTTCTGAGATTGCTTCTGTCTACCTTTTATGGAAAGATATTCCCTTTTCTACCATAGGCCTGAAAGCGCTCTCAATGTACCCTTGCAAATTCTACAAAAAGAGTGTTTCCAAATTGCTCTATCAAGAGAAATCTTTATCTCGGTGAGTTGAAAGCACACATCACAAAGAAGACTCTGAGAATTCTTCTGTCTGGGTTTATAAGATGAAAACCCGTTTCCAACGAAGGCCTCAAGGAGGTCCAAATACAAACAAGCTGATTCTACAGAAAGAGTGTTTCCAAACTGCTCTATCAAGAGGAATGTTCCACTCGGTGAGTTGAATGCAGACATCACAAAGGAGTTTCTGAGATTGCTTCTGTCTAGCTTTTATGGAAAGATATTTCCTTTTCTACCATAGGCCTCAAAGCGCTCTTAGTATACACTTCCAAATTCTACAAAGAGAGTGTTACTAAACCGCTCTCTCAAAGGAAATGTTAAACTCTGTGAGTTGAACACAGACATCACAAAGCAGTTTCTGAGAACACTTCTGTCTGCCTTTTATGTGAAGACATTCCCTTTTCCAAAGAATGCCTCCCAGGGCTCAAAATATCCACTTGTAGACTTTACAAAGAGAGTGTTTCAAAACTTCTCTACCAAAAGAAAGGTTAAAGACGGTGAGTTCAACGCACACATCACAAAGTTGTTTCTGAGAATGATTCTATCTATGTTTTCCATGAAGATGTTTCCTTTTCTATCATAGGCTTCAAAGTGGTCTAAATATCCACTTGGAAATCCTACAAGAACAGGGTTTCAAAACTTCTCTATCAAACGGAAGACTCCACTCTGTGAGATGAACGCACACATCACAATGAGGTTTCTGAAAATTCTTCTGTCTAGGGTTATAGGAAGAAATCCCGTTTCCAACGAAGGCCTCAAAGAGGTCCAAATATCCACTTGCAGTTTCTACAAAAAGAGTGTTTCAACACTGCTCTATAAAGAGAAAAGTTCCACTCTGTGAGTTGAATGTACACATCACAAAGTAGTTTCTGAGATTGCTTCTGTCTAGGTTTTAGGTGAAGTTATTTCCTTTTCTACTGTGGGCTTCAATGCGCTCTAAATATACACATGCAAATACTACAAAAAGAGTGTTTCAAAACTGCTCTATCAAAAGAAAAGTTTTACTCTGTGAGTTGAACGCACACATCGCAAAGCAGATTCTGAGAATTATTCTGTCTAGTTTTTATAGGAAGATGTTTCTTTTTCTGCCATAGGCTCAATGCGCTATAAATATCCCCTTGGAAATCCTACAAAAACAGTGTTTCAAAACTGCTCTGTGAAAAGGGAGGTTTCACTCTTTGAATTGAATGCACACATCACAAAGGAGTTTCTGAAAATTCTTCAATCTAGAGTTACATGAAGAAATCCCGTTTCCAAAGAAGGCCTCAAATAGGTCCAAATATCCACTTGCAGCTACTACAAGAAGGGTGTTTCAGAAACGCTCTATCAAAAGAAACGTTAAACTCTGTGAGTTGAACGCACACGTCACTAAGCACTTTCTGAGAACGATTCTATCTACTTTTTACATGAAGATGTTTCCTTTTCTAGCAGAGACTTCAAAGTGCTCTAAATATCCACTTGGGAATTCTACAAAAACGGTGTCTCAAAACTGCTCTACCAAAGGGAATGTTCCATTCTGTGAGTCGAATGCACACATCCGAAGAAGTTACTGAGAATTCTTCTCTGTAGGTTTAGATGAAGAAATCCCGTTTCCAACGAAGGCCTCTAGGAGGTCCAATTATCCACTTGCAGATTCTACAGAAAGAGTGTTTCAAAACTGCTCTATCAAGAGAAATGGTCCACCGTGTGTGTGGAATGCAGCCATCACACATTAGTTTCTGAGATTGCTTCTGTCTTGGTTTTATGGGGAGATATTTCCATTTCTAGCATAGGCTTCAAGGCGCTCTAAATATCCGCTTGGAAATACTACAAAAACAGTGTTTCAAAACTGCTGTATCCAAAGGAAGGTGCCACTCGCTGAGTTGAATGCACACATCACAAGGAAGTTTCTGAGAATTCTTCTGTCTAGATTCATACGAAGAAATCCCGTTTCCAACGAAGGCCTCAAAGAAGTCCAAATATCCCATTGCAAATTCTACAAAAGGAGTGTTTCCCAACTGCTCTATCAAGAGGAATGTTGCACTCTGTGACTTGAATGCAAACATCACACAGCAGTGTTTGAGAATTCTTCTGTCTAGAGTAACATGAAGAAATCCCGTTTCCAACGAAGGCCTCAAGGCGGTCCAATTATCCACTTGCAGATTCTACAGAAAGAGTGTTTCAAAACTGCTCTATCAAGAGAAATGTTCCACCGTGTGTGTGGAATGCAGCCATCACACAGTAGTTTCTGAGATTGCTTCCGTCTAGGTTTTATGGGAAGATATTTCCTTTTCTACCATAGGCCTCAAGGCGCTCTAATATCCGCTTGGAAATACTACAACCACAGCGTTTCAAACTGCTCTATCCAAAGGAAGGTTCCACTCTGTGACTTGAATGCACACAACCAAAGAAGGTTCGGGAGAATTCTTCTGTCTGGATTTATACGAAGAAATCCCATTTCCAACGAAGACCCAAAGGAGTTCCAAATATCCACTTGCAGATCCTTCAGAAAGAGGGTTTCAAAACTGCTCTATCAAGAGAAATGTTCAACTCTGTGAGTTGAATGCAGACATCACAAAGTCGTTTCTGAGATGGGTTCTGTCTAGGTTTTATGGGAAGATATTTCTTTTTCTACCATACGCTTCAAGGCGTTCCAAATATCCGCTTGGAAATACTACAAAAACGGTGTTTCAAAACTGCTCTATCAAAAGGAAGGGTCCACACTGTGAGTTGAATTCACACATCACAAAGAAATCTCTGAGAATTCTTCTGTCTGGGTTTATAGGAAGAAATCCCGTTTCCAACGAAGGCCTCAAAGCGGTCCATATATCCACTTGCAGATTCTACAGAAACAATGTTTCCAAACTGCTCTATCAAGAGGAATGTTGCACTCGGTGAGTTGAATGCACACATCACAAAGTAGTTTCTGAGATTGCTTCTGTCTACCTTTTATGGAAAGATATTCCCTTTTCTACCATAGGCCTGAAAGCGCTCTCAATGTACCCTTGCAAATTCTACAAAAAGAGTGTTTCCAAATTGCTCTATCAAGAGAAATCTTTATCTCGGTGAGTTGAAAGCACACATCACAAAGAAGACTCTGAGAATTCTTCTGTCTGGGTTTATAAGATGAAAACCCGTTTCCAACGAAGGCCTCAAGGAGGTCCAAATACAAACAAGCTGATTCTACAGAAAGAGTGTTTCCAAACTGCTCTATCAAGAGGAATGTTCCACTCGGTGAGTTGAATGCAGACATCACAAAGGAGTTTCTGAGATTGCTTCTGTCTAGCTTTTATGGAAAGATATTTCCTTTTCTACCATAGGCCTCAAAGCGCTCTTAGTATACACTTCCAAATTCTACAAAGAGAGTGTTACTAAACCGCTCTCTCAAAGGAAATGTTAAACTCTGTGAGTTGAACACAGACATCACAAAGCAGTTTCTGAGAACACTTCTGTCTGCCTTTTATGTGAAGACATTCCCTTTTCCAAAGAATGCCTCCAAGGGCTCAAAATATCCACTTGTAGACTTTACAAAGAGAGTGTTTCAAAACTTCTCTACCAAAAGAAAGGTTAAAGACGGTGAGTTCAACGCACACATCACAAAGTTGTTTCTGAGAATGATTCTATCTATGTTTTCCATGAAGATGTTTCCTTTTCTATCATAGGCTTCAAAGTGGTCTAAATATCCACTTGGAAATCCTACAAGAACAGGGTTTCAAAACTTCTCTATCAAACGGAAGACTCCACTCTGTGAGATGAACGCACACATCACAATGAGGTTTCTGAAAATTCTTCTGTCTAGGGTTATAGGAAGAAATCCCGTTTCCAACGAAGGCCTCAAAGAGGTCCAAATATCCACTTGCAGTTTCTACAAAAAGAGTGTTTCAACACTGCTCTATAAAGAGGAAAGTTCCACTCGGTGAGTTGAATGTACACATCACAAAGTAGTTTCTGAGATTGCTTCTGTCTAGGTTTTAGGTGAAGTTATTTCCTTTTCTACTGTGGGCTTCAATGCGCTCTAAATATACACATGCAAATACTACAAAAAGAGTGTTTCAAAACTGCTCTATCAAAAGAAAAGTTTTACTCTGTGAGTTGAACGCACACATCGCAAAGCAGATTCTGAGAATTATTCTGTCTAGTTTTTATAGGAAGATGTTTCTTTTTCTGCCATAGGCTCAATGCGCTATAAATATCCCCTTGGAAATCCTACAAAAACAGTGTTTCAAAACTGCTCTGTGAAAAGGGAGGTTTCACTCTTTGAATTGAATGCACACATCACAAAGGAGTTTCTGAAAATTCTTCAATCTAGAGTTACATGAAGAAATCCCGTTTCCAAAGAAGGCCTCAAATAGGTCCAAATATCCACTTGCAGCTACTACAAGAAGGGTGTTTCAGAAACGCTCTATCAAAAGAAACGTTAAACTCTGTGAGTTGAACGCACACGTCACTAAGCACTTTCTGAGAACGATTCTATCTACTTTTTACATGAAGATGTTTCCTTTTCTAGCAGAGACTTCAAAGTGCTCTAAATATCCACTTGGGAATTCTACAAAAACGGTGTCTCAAAACTGCTCTACCAAAGGGAATGTTCCATTCTGTGAGTCGAATGCACACATCCGAAGAAGTTACTGAGAATTCTTCTCTGTAGGTTTAGATGAAGAAATCCCGTTTCCAACGAAGGCCTCTAGGAGGTCCAATTATCCACTTGCAGATTCTACAGAAAGAGTGTTTCAAAACTGCTCTATCAAGAGAAATGGTCCACCGTGTGTGTGGAATGCAGCCATCACACATTAGTTTCTGAGATTGCTTCTGTCTTGGTTTTATGGGGAGATATTTCCATTTCTAGCATAGGCTTCAAGGCGCTCTAAATATCCGCTTGGAAATACTACAAAAACAGTGTTTCAAAACTGCTGTATCCAAAGGAAGGTGCCACTCGCTGAGTTGAATGCACACATCACAAGGAAGTTTCTGAGAATTCTTCTGTCTAGATTCATACGAAGAAATCCCGTTTCCAACGAAGGCCTCAAAGAAGTCCAAATATCCCATTGCAAATTCTACAAAAGGAGTGTTTCCCAACTGCTCTATCAAGAGGAATGTTGCACTCTGTGACTTGAATGCAAACATCACATAGCAGTGTTTGAGAATTCTTCTGTCTAGAGTAACATGAAGAAATCCCGTTTCCAACGAAGGCCTCAAGGCGGTCCAATTATCCACTTGCAGATTCTACAGAAAGAGTGTTTCAAAACTGCTCTATCAAGAGAAATGTTCCACCGTGTGTGTGGAATGCAGCCATCACACAGTAGTTTCTGAGATTGCTTCCGTCTAGGTTTTATGGGAAGATATTTCCTTTTCTACCATAGGCTTCAAGGCGCTCTAATATCCGCTTGGAAATACTACAACCACAGCGTTTCAAACTGCTCTATCCAAAGGAAGGTTCCACTCTGTGACTTGAATGCACACAACCAAAGAAGTTTCGGAGAATTCTTCTGTCTGGATTTATACGAAGAAATCCCGTTTCCAACGAAGACCCAAAGGAGTTCCAAATATCCACTTGCAGATCCTTCAGAAAGAGGGTTTCAAAACTGCTCTATCAAGAGAAATGTTCAACTCTGTGAGTTGAATGCAGACATCACAAAGTCGTTTCTGAGATGGGTTCTGTCTAGGTTTTATGGGAAGATATTTCCTTTTCTACCATACGCTTCAAGGCGTTCCAAATATCCGCTTGGAAATACTACAAAAACAGTGTTTCAAAACTGCTCTATCAAAAGGAAGGATCCACACTGTGAGTTGAATTCACACATCACAAAGAAGTCTCTGAGAATTCTTCTGTCTCGGTTTATAGGAAGAAATCCCGTTTCCAACGAAGGCCTCAAAGAGGTCCAAATATCCACTTGCAGATTCTACAGAAACAATGTTTCCAAACTGCTCGGTCAAGAGGAATGTTGCACTCGGTGAGTTGAATGCACACATCACAAAGTAGTTTCTGAGAATGCTTCTGTCTACCTTTTATGGAAAGATATTCCCTTTTCTACCATAGGCCTGAAAGCGCTCTCAATGTACCCTTGCAAATTCTACAAAAAGAGTGTTTCCAAATTGCTCTATCAAGAGAAATCTTTATCTCGGTGAGTTGAAAGCACACATCACAAAGAAGACTCTGAGAATTCTTCTGTCTGGGTTTATAAGATGAAAACCCGTTTCCAACGAAGGCCTCAAGGAGGTCCAAATACAAACAAGCTGATTCTACAGAAAGAGTGTTTCCAAACTGCTCTATCAAGAGGAATGTTCCACTCGGTGAGTTGAATGCAGACATCACAAAGGAGTTTCTGAGATTGCTTCTGTCTAGCTTTTATGGAAAGATATTTCCTTTTCTACCATAGGCCTCAAAGCGCTCTTAGTATACACTTCCAAATTCTACAAAGAGAGTGTTACTAAACCGCTCTCTCAAAGGAAATGTTAAACTCTGTGAGTTGAACACAGACATCACAAAGCAGTTTCTGAGAACACTTCTGTCTGCCTTTTATGTGAAGACATTCCCTTTTCCAAAGAATGCCTCCAAGGGCTCAAAATATCCACTCGTAGACTTTACAAAGAGAGTGTTTCAAAACTTCTCTACCAAAAGAAAGGTTAAAGACGGTGAGTTCAACGCACACATCACAAAGTTGTTTCTGAGAATGATTCTATCTATGTTTTCCATGAAGATGTTTCCTTTTCTATCATAGGCTTCAAAGTGGTCTAAATATCCACTTGGAAATCCTACAAGAACAGGGTTTCAAAACTTCTCTATCAAACGGAAGACTCCACTCTGTGAGATGAACGCACACATCACAATGAGGTTTCTGAAAATTCTTCTGTCTAGGGTTATAGGAAGAAATCCCGTTTCCAACGAAGGCCTCAAAGAGGTCCAAATATCCACTTGCAGTTTCTACAAAAAGAGTGTTTCAACACTGCTCTATAAAGAGGAAAGTTCCACTCTGTGAGTTGAATGTACACATCACAAAGTAGTTTCTGAGATTGCTTCTGTCTAGGTTTTAGGTGAAGTTATTTCCTTTTCTACTGTGGGCTTCAATGCGCTCTAAATATACACATGCAAATACTACAAAAAGAGTGTTTCAAAACTGCTCTATCAAAAGAAAAGTTTTACTCTGTGAGTTGAACGCACACATCGCAAAGCAGATTCTGAGAATTATTCTGTCTAGTTTTTATAGGAAGATGTTTCTTTTTCTGCCATAGGCTCAATGCGCTATAAATATCCCCTTGGAAATCCTACAAAAACAGTGTTTCAAAACTGCTCTGTGAAAAGGGAGGTTTCACTCTTTGAATTGAATGCACACATCACAAAGGAGTTTCTGAAAATTCTTCAATCTAGAGTTACATGAAGAAATCCCGTTTCCAAAGAAGGCCTCAAATAGGTCCAAATATCCACTTGCAGCTACTACAAGAAGGGTGTTTCAGAAACGCTCTATCAAAAGAAACGTTAAACTCTGTGAGTTGAACGCACACGTCACTAAGCACTTTCTGAGAACGATTCTATCTACTTTTTACATGAAGATGTTTCCTTTTCTAGCAGAGACTTCAAAGTGCTCTAAATATCCACTTGGGAATTCTACAAAAACGGTGTCTCAAAACTGCTCTATCAAAGGGAATGTTCCATTCTGTGAGTCGAATGCACACATCCGAAGAAGTTACTGAGAATTCTTCTCTGTAGGTTTAGATGAAGAAATCCCGTTTCCAACGAAGGCCTCTAGGAGGTCCAATTATCCACTTGCAGATTCTACAGAAAGAGTGTTTCAAAACTGCTCTATCAAGAGAAATGGTCCACCGTGTGTGTGGAATGCAGCCATCACACATTAGTTTCTGAGATTGCTTCTGTCTTGGTTTTATGGGGAGATATTTCCATTTCTAGCATAGGCTTCAAGGCGCTCTAAATATCCGCTTGGAAATACTACAAAAACAGTGTTTCAAAACTGCTGTATCCAAAGGAAGGTGCCACTCGCTGAGTTGAATGCACACATCACAAGGAAGTTTCTGAGAATTCTTCTGTCTAGATTCATACGAAGAAATCCCGTTTCCAACGAAGGCCTCAAAGAAGTCCAAATATCCCATTGCAAATTCTACAAAAGGAGTGTTTCCCAACTGCTCTATCAAGAGGAATGTTGCACTCTGTGACTTGCATGCAAACATCACACAGCAGTGTTTGAGAATTCTTCTGTCTAGAGTAACATGAAGAAATCCCGTTTCCAACGAAGGCCTCAAGGCGGTCCAATTATCCACTTGCAGATTCTACAGAAAGAGTGTTTCAAAACTGCTCTATCAAGAGAAATGTTCCACCGTGTGTGTGGAATGCAGCCATCACACAGTAGTTTCTGAGATTGCTTCCGTCTAGGTTTTATGGGAAGATATTTCCTTTTCTACCATAGGCTTCAAGGCGCTCTAATATCCGCTTGGAAATACTACAACCACAGCGTTTCAAACTGCTCTATCCAAAGGAAGGTTCCACTCTGTGACTTGAATGCACACAACCAAAGAAGTTTCGGAGAATCTTCTGTCTAGATTTATACCGAAGAAATCCCGTTTCCAACGAAGACCCAAAGGAGTTCCAAATATCCACTTGCAGATCCTTCAGAAAGAGGGTTTCAAAACTGCTCTATCAAGAGAAATGTTCAACTCTGTGAGTTGAATGCAGACATCACAAAGTCGTTTCTGAGATTGGTTCTGTCTAGGTTTTATGGGAAGATATTTCCTTTTCTACCATACGCTTCAAGGCGTTCCAAATATCCGCTTGGAAATACTACAAAAACAGTGTTTCAAAACTGCTCTATCAAAAGGAAGGATCCACACTGTGAGTTGAATTCACACATCACAAAGAAGTCTCTGAGAATTCTTCTGTCTGGGTTTATAGGAAGAAATCCCGTTTCCAACGAAGGCCTCAAAGAGGTCCAAATATCCACTTGCAGATTCTACAGAAACAATGTTTCCAAACTGCTCGGTCAAGAGGAATGTTGCACTCGGTGAGTTGAATGCACACATCACAAAGTAGTTTCTGAGATTGCTTCTGTCTACCTTTTATGGAAAGATATTCCCTTTTCTACCATAGGCCTGAAAGCGCTCTCAATGTACCCTTGCAAATTCTACAAAAAGAGTGTTTCCAAATTGCTCTATCAAGAGAAATCTTTATCTCGGTGAGTTGAAAGCACACATCACAAAGAAGACTCTGAGAATTCTTCTGTCTGGGTTTATAAGATGAAAACCCGTTTCCAACGAAGGCCTCAAGGAGGTCCAAATACAAACAAGCTGATTCTACAGAAAGAGTGTTTCCAAACTGCTCTATCAAGAGGAATGTTCCACTCGGTGAGTTGAATGCAGACATCACAAAGGAGTTTCTGAGATTGCTTCTGTCTAGCTTTTATGGAAAGATATTTCCTTTTCTACCATAGGCCTCAAAGCGCTCTTAGTATACACTTCCAAATTCTACAAAGAGAGTGTTACTAAACCGCTCTCTCAAAGGAAATGTTAAACTCTGTGAGTTGAACACAGACATCACAAAGCAGTTTCTGAGAACACTTCTGTCTGCCTTTTATGTGAAGACATTCCCTTTTCCAAAGAATGCCTCCAAGGGCTCAAAATATCCACTTGTAGACTTTACAAAGAGAGTGTTTCAAAACTTCTCTACCAAAAGAAAGGTTAAAGACGGTGAGTTCAACGCACACATCACAAAGTTGTTTCTGAGAATGATTCTATCTATGTTTTCCATGAAGATGTTTCCTTTTCTATCATAGGCTTCAAAGTGGTCTAAATATCCACTTGGAAATCCTACAAGAACAGGGTTTCAAAACTTCTCTATCAAACGGAAGACTCCACTCTGTGAGATGAACGCACACATCACAATGAGGTTTCTGAAAATTCTTCTGTCTAGGGTTATAGGAAGAAATCCCATTTCCAACGAAGGCCTCAAAGAGGTCCAAATATCCACTTGCAGTTTCTACAAAAAGAGTGTTTCAACACTGCTCTATAAAGAGGAAAGTTCCACTCTGTGAGTTGAATGTACACATCACAAAGTAGTTTCTGAGATTGCTTCTGTCTAGGTTTTAGGTGAAGTTATTTCCTTTTCTACTGTGGGCTTCAATGCGCTCTAAATATACACATGCAAATACTACAAAAAGAGTGTTTCAAAACTGCTCTATCAAAAGAAAAGTTTTACTCTGTGGGTTGAACGCACACATCGCAAAGCAGATTCTGAGAATTATTCTGTCTAGTTTTTATAGGAAGATGTTTCTTTTTCTGCCATAGGATCAATGCGCTATAAATATCCCCTTGGAAATCCTACAAAAACAGTGTTTCAAAACTGCTCTGTGAAAAGGGACGTTTCACTCTTTGAATTGAATGCACACATCACAAAGGAGTTTCTGAAAATTCTTCAATCTAGAGTTACATGAAGAAATCCCGTTTCCAAAGAAGGCCTCAAATAGGTCCAAATATCCACTTGCAGCTACTACAAGAAGGGTGTTTCAGAAACGCTCTATCAAAAGAAACGTTAAACTCTGTGAGTTGAACACACACGTCACTAAGCACTTTCTGAGAACGATTCTATCTACTTTTTACATGAAGATGTTTCCTTTTCTAGCAGAGACTTCAAAGTGCTCTAAATATCCACTTGGGAATTCTACAAAAACGGTGTCTCAAAACTGCTCTATCAAACGGAATGTTCCATTGTGTGAGTCGAATGCACACATCCGAAGAAGTTACTGAGAATTCTTCTCTGTAGGTTTAGATGAAGAAATCCCGTTTCCAACGAAGGCCTCTAGGAGGTCCAATTATCCACTTGCAGATTCTACAGAAAGAGTGTTTCAAAACTGCTCTATCAAGAGAAATGGTCCACCGTGTGTGTGGAATGCAGCCATCACACATTAGTTTCTGAGATTGCTTCTGTCTTGGTTTTATGGGGAGATATTTCCATTTCTAGCATAGGCTTCAAGGCGCTCTAAATATCCGCTTGGAAATACTACAAAAACAGTGTTTCAAAACTGCTGTATCCAAAGGAAGGTGCCACTCGCTGAGTTGAATGCACACATCACAAGGAAGTTTCTGAGAATTCTTCTGTCTAGATTCATACGAAGAAATCCCGTTTCCAACGAAGGCCTCAAAGAAGTCCAAATATCCCATTGCAAATTCTACAAAAGGAGTGTTTCCCAACTGCTCTATCAAGAGGAATGTTGCACTCTGTGACTTGCATGCAAACATCACACAGCAGTGTTTGAGAATTCTTCTGTCTAGAGTAACATGAAGAAATCCCGTTTCCAACGAAGGCCTCAAGGCGGTCCAATTATCCACTTGCAGATTCTACAGAAAGAGTGTTTCAAAACTGCTCTATCAAGAGAAATGTTCCACCGTGTGTGTGGAATGCAGCCATCACACAGTAGTTTCTGAGATTGCTTCCGTCTAGGTTTTATGGGAAGATATTTCCTTTTCTACCATAGGCCTCAAGGCGCTCTAATATCCGCTTGGAAATACTACAACCACAGCGTTTCAAACTGCTCTATCCAAAGGAAGGTTCCACTCTGTGACTTGAATGCACACAACCAAAGAAGTTTCGGAGAATTCTTCTGTCTGGATTTATACGAAGAAATCCCGTTTCCAACGAAGACCCAAAGGAGTTCCAAATATCCACTTGCAGATCCTTCAGAAAGAGGGTTTCAAAACTGCTCTATCAAGAGAAATGTTCAACTCTGTGAGTTGAATGCAGACATCACAAAGTCGTTTCTGAGATGGGTTCTGTCTAGGTTTTATGGGAAGATATTTCCTTTTCTACCATACGCTTCAAGGCGTTCCAAATATCCGCTTGGAAATACTACAAAAACGGTGTTTCAAAACTGCTCTATCAAAAGGAAGGATCCACACTGTGAGTTGAATTCACACATCACAAAGAAGTCTCTGAGAATTCTTCTGTCTGGGTTTATAGGAAGAAATCCCGTTTCCAACGAAGGCCTCAAAGAGGTCCAAATATCCACTTGCAGATTCTACAGAAACAATGTTTCCAAACTGCTCAGTCAAGAGGAATGTTGCACTCGGTGAGTTGAATGCACACATCACAAAGTAGTTTCTGAGATTGCTTCTGTCTACCTTTTATGGAAAGATATTCCCTTTTCTACCATAGGCCTGAAAGCGCTCTCAATGTACCCTTGCAAATTCTACAAAAAGAGTGTTTCCAAATTGCTCTATCAAGAGAAATCTTTATCTCGGTGAGTTGAAAGCACACATCACAAAGAAGACTCTGAGAATTCTTCTGTCTGGGTTTATAAGATGAAAACCCGTTTCCAACGAAGGCCTCAAGGAGGTCCAAATACAAACAAGCTGATTCTACAGAAAGAGTGTTTCCAAACTGCTCTATCAAGAGGAATGTTCCACTCGGTGAGTTGAATGCAGACATCACAAAGGAGTTTCTGAGATTGCTTCTGTCTAGCTTTTATGGAAAGATATTTCCTTTTCTACCATAGGCCTCAAAGCGCTCTTAGTATACACTTCCAAATTCTACAAAGAGAGTGTTACTAAACCGCTCTCTCAAAGGAAATGTTAAACTCTGTGAGTTGAACACAGACATCACAAAGCAGTTTCTGAGAACACTTCTGTCTGCCTTTTATGTGAAGACATTCCCTTTTCCAAAGAATGCCTCCAAGGGCTCAAAATATCCACTTGTAGACTTTACAAAGAGAGTGTTTCAAAACTTCTCTACCAAAAGAAAGGTTAAAGACGGTGAGTTCAACGCACACATCACAAAGTTGTTTCTGAGAATGATTCTATCTATGTTTTTCATGAAGATGTTTCCTTTTCTATCATAGGCTTCAAAGTGGTCTAAATATCCACTTGGAAATCCTACAAGAACACGGTTTCAAAACTTCTCTATCAAACGGAAGACTCCACTCTGTGAGATGAACGCACACATCACAATGAGGTTTCTGAAAATTCTTCTGTCTAGGGTTATAGGAAGAAATCCCGTTTCCAACGAAGGCCTCAAAGAAGGTCCAAATATCCACTTGCAGTTTCTACAAAAAGAGTGTTTCAACACTGCTCTATAAAGAGGAAAGTTCCACTCTGTGAGTTGAATGTACACATCACAAAGTAGTTTCTGAGATTGCTTCTGTCTAGGTTTTAGGTGAAGTTATTTCCTTTTCTACTGTGGGCTTCAATGCGCTCTAAATATACACATGCAAATACTACAAAAAGAGTGTTTCAAAACTGCTCTATCAAAAGAAAAGTTTTACTCTGTGAGTTGAACGCACACATCGCAAAGCAGATTCTGAGAATTATTCTGTCTAGTTTTTATAGGAAGATGTTTCTTTTTCTGCCATAGGATCAATGCGCTATAAATATCCCCTTGGAAATCCTACAAAAACAGTGTTTCAAAACTGCTCTGTGAAAAGGGAGGTTTCACTCTTTGAATTGAATGCACACATCACAAAGGAGTTTCTGAAAATTCTTCAATCTAGAGTTACATGAAGAAATCCCGTTTCCAAAGAAGGCCTCAAATAGGTCCAAATATCCACTTGCAGCTACTACAAGAAGGGTGTTTCAGAAACGCTCTATCAAAAGAAACGTTAAACTCTGTGAGTTGAACACACACGTCACTAAGCACTTTCTGAGAACGATTCTATCTACTTTTTACATGAAGATGTTTCCTTTTCTAGCAGAGACTTCAAAGTGCTCTAAATATCCACTTGGGAATTCTACAAAAACGGTGTCTCAAAACTGCTCTATCAAAGGGAATGTTCCATTCTGTGAGTCGAATGCACACATCCGAAGAAGTTACTGAGAATTCTTCTCTGTAGGTTTAGATGAAGAAATCCCGTTTCCAACGAAGGCCTCTAGGAGGTCCAATTATCCACTTGCAGATTCTACAGAAAGAGTGTTTCAAAACTGCTCTATCAAGAGAAATGGTCCACCGTGTGTGTGGAATGCAGCCATCACACATTAGTTTCTGAGATTGCTTCTGTCTTGGTTTTATGGGGAGATATTTCCATTTCTAGCATAGGCTTCAAGGCGCTCTAAATATCCGCTTGGAAATACTACAAAAACAGTGTTTCAAAACTGCTGTATCCAAAGGAAGGTGCCACTCGCTGAGTTGAATGCACACATCACAAGGAAGTTTCTGAGAATTCTTCTGTCTAGTATTCATACGAAGAAATCCCGTTTCCAACGAAGGCCTCAAAGAAGTCCAAATATCCCATTGCAAATTCTACAAAAGGAGTGTTTCCCAACTGCTCTATCAAGAGGAATGTTGCACTCTGTGACTTGCATGCAAACATCACACAGCAGTGTTTGAGAATTCTTCTGTCTAGAGTAACATGAAGAAATCCCGTTTCCAACGAAGGCCTCAAGGCGGTCCAATTATCCACTTGCAGATTCTACAGAAAGAGTGTTTCAAAACTGCTCTATCAAGAGAAATGTTCCACCGTGTGTGTGGAATGCAGCCATCACACAGTAGTTTCTGAGATTGCTTCCGTCTAGGTTTTATGGGAAGATATTTCCTTTTCTACCATAGGCCTCAAGGCGCTCTAATATCCGCTTGGAAATACTACAACCACAGCGTTTCAAACTGCTCTATCCAAAGGAAGGTTCCACTCTGTGACTTGAATGCACACAACCAAAGAAGTTTCGGAGAATTCTTCTGTCTGGATTTATACGAAGAAATCCCGTTTCCAACGAAGACCCAAAGGAGTTCCAAATATCCACTTGCAGATCCTTCAGAAAGAGGGTTTCAAAACTGCTCTATCAAGAGAAATCTTCAACTCTGTGAGTTGAATGCAGACATCACAAAGTCGTTTCTGAGATGGGTTCTGTCTAGGTTTTATGGGAAGATATTTCCTTTTCTACCATACGCTTCAAGGCGTTCCAAATATCCGCTTGGAAATACTACAAAAACAGTGTTTCAAAACTGCTCTATCAAAAGGAAGGATCCACACTGTGAGTTGAATTCACACATCACAAAGAAGTCTCTGAGAATTCTTCTGTCTGGGTTTATAGGAAGAAATCCCGTTTCCAACGAAGGCCTCAAAGCGGTCCATATATCCACTTGCAGATTCTACAGAAACAATGTTTCCAAACTGCTCTATCAAGAGGAATGTTGCACTCGGTGAGTTGAATGCACACATCACAAAGTAGTTTCTGAGATTGCTTCTGTCTACCTTTGATGGAAAGATATTCCCTTTTCTACCATAGGCCTGAAAGCGCTCTCAATGTACCCTTGCAAATTCTACAAAAAGAGTGTTTCCAAATTGCTCTATCAAGAGAAATCTTTATCTCGGTGAGTTGAAAGCACACATCACAAAGAAGACTCTGAGAATTCTTCTGTCTGGGTTTATAAGATGAAAACCCGTTTCCAACGAAGGCCTCAAGGAGGTCCAAATACAAACAAGCTGATTCTACAGAAAGAGTGTTTCCAAACTGCTCTATCAAGAGGAATGTTCCACTCGGTGAGTTGAATGCAGACATCACAAAGGAGTTTCTGAGATTGCTTCTGTCTAGCTTTTATGGAAAGATATTTCCTTTTCTACCATAGGCCTCAAAGCGCTCTTAGTATACACTTCCAAATTCTACAAAGAGAGTGTTACTAAACCGCTCTCTCAAAGGAAATGTTAAACTCTGTGAGTTGAACACAGACATCACAAAGCAGTTTCTGAGAACACTTCTGTCTGCCTTTTATGTGAAGACATTCCCTTTTCCAAAGAATGCCTCCAAGGGCTCAAAATATCCACTTGTAGACTTTACAAAGAGAGTGTTTCAAAACTTCTCTACCAAAAGAGAGGTTAAAGACGGTGAGTTCAACGCACACATCACAAAGTTGTTTCTGAGAATGATTCTCTATCTATGTTTTCCATGAAGATGTTTCCTTTTCTATCATAGGCTTCAAAGTGGTCTAAATATCCACTTGGAAATCCTACAAGAACAGGGTTTCAAAACTTCTCTATCAAACGGAAGACTCCACTCTGTGAGATGAACGCACACATCACAATGAGGTTTCTGAAAATTCTTCTGTCTAGGGTTATAGGAAGAAATCCCGTTTCCAACGAAGGCCTCAAAGAGGTCCATATATCCACTTGCAGTTTCTACAAAAAGAGTGTTTCAACACTGCTCTATAAAGAGGAAAGTTCCACTCTGTGAGTTGAATGTACACATCACAAAGTAGTTTCTGAGATTGCTTCTGTCTAGGTTTTAGGTGAAGTTATTTCCTTTTCTACTGTGGGCTTCAATGCGCTCTAAATATACACATGCAAATACTACAAAAAGAGTGTTTCAAAACTGCTCTATCAAAAGAAAAGTTTTACTCTGTGGGTTGAACGCACACATCGCAAAGCAGATTCTGAGAATTATTCTGTCTAGTTTTTATAGGAAGATGTTTCTTTTTCTGCCGTAGGCTCAATGCGCTATATATATCCCCTTGGAAATCCTACAAAAACAGTGTTTCAAAACTGCTCTGTGAAAAGGGAGGTTTCACTCTTTGAATTGAATGCACACATCACAAAGGAGTTTCTGAAAATTCTTCAATCTAGAGTTACATGAAGAAATCCCGTTTCCAAAGAAGGCCTCAAATAGGTCCAAATATCCACTTGCAGCTACTACAAGAAGGGTGTTTCAGAAACGCTCTATCAAAAGAAACGTTAAACTCTGTGAGTTGAACACACACGTCACTAAGCACTTTCTGAGAACGATTCTATCTACTTTTTACATGAAGATGTTTCCTTTTCTAGCAGAGACTTCAAAGTGCTCTAAATATCCACTTGGGAATTCTACAAAAACGGTGTCTCAAAACTGCTCTATCAAAGGGAATGTTCCATTCTGTGAGTCGAATGCACACATCCGAAGAAGTTACTGAGAATTCTTCTCTGTAGGTTTAGATGAAGAAATCCCGTTTCCAACGAAGGCCTCTAGGAGGTCCAATTATCCACTTGCAGATTCTACAGAAAGAGTGTTTCAAAACTGCTCTATCAAGAGAAATGGTCCACCGTGTGTGTGGAATGCAGCCATCACACATTAGTTTCTGAGATTGCTTCTGTCTTGGTTTTATGGGGAGATATTTCCATTTCTAGCATAGGCTTCAAGGCGCTCTAAATATCCGCTTGGAAATAGTACAAAAACAGTGTTTCAAAACTGCTGTATCCAAAGGAAGGTGCCACTCGCTGAGTTGAATGCACACATCACAAGGAAGTTTCTGAGAATTCTTCTGTCTAGATTCATACGAAGAAATCCCGTTTCCAATGAAGGCCTCAAAGAAGTCCAAATATCCCATTGCAAATTCTACAAAAGGAGTGTTTCCCAACTGCTCTATCAAGAGGAATGTTGCACTCTGTGACTTGAATGCAAACATCACATAGCAGTGTTTGAGAATTCTTCTGTCTAGAGTAACATGAAGAAATCCCGTTTCCAACGAAGGCCTCAAGGCGGTCCAATTATCCACTTGCAGATTCTACAGAAAGAGTGTTTCAAAACTGCTCTATCAAGAGAAATGTTCCACCGTGTGTGTGGAATGCAGCCATCACACAGTAGTTTCTGAGATTGCTTCCGTCTAGGTTTTATGGGAAGATATTTCCTTTTCTACCATAGGCTTCAACGCGCTCTAATATCCGCTTGGAAATACTACAACCACAGCGTTTCAAACTGCTCTATCCAAAGGAAGGTTCCACTCTGTGAGTTGAATGCACACAACCAAAGAAGTTTCGGAGAATTCTTCTGTCTAGATTTATACGAAGAAATCCCGTTTCCAACGAAGACCCAAAGGAGTTCCAAATATCCACTTGCAGATCCTTCAGAAAGAGGGTTTCAAAACTGCTCTATCAAGAGAAATGTTCAACTCTGTGAGTTGAATGCAGACATCACAAAGTCGTTTCTGAGATTGGTTCTGTCTAGGTTTTATGGGAAGATATTTCCTTTTCTACCATACGCTTCAAGGCGTTCCAAATATCCGCTTGGAAATACTACAAAAACAGTGTTTCAAAACTGCTCTATCAAAAGGAAGGATCCACACTGTGAGTTGAATTCACACATCACAAAGAAGTCTCTGAGAATTCTTCTGTCTGGGTTTATAGGAAGAAATCCCGTTTCCAACGAAGGCCTCAAAGAGGTCCAAATATCCACTTGCAGATTCTACAGAAACAATGTTTCCAAACTGCTCGGTCAAGAGGAATGTTGCACTCGGTGAGTTGAATGCACACATCACAAAGTAGTTTCTGAGATTGCTTCTGTCTACCTTTTATGGAAAGATATTCCCTTTTCTACCATAGGCCTGAAAGCGCTCTCAATGTACCCTTGCAAATTCTACAAAAAGAGTGTTTCCAAATTGCTCTATCAAGAGAAATCTTTATCTCGGTGAGTTGAAAGCACACATCACAAAGAAGACTCTGAGAATTCTTCTGTCTGGGTTTATAAGATGAAAACCCGTTTCCAACGAAGGCCTCAAGGAGGTCCAAATACAAACAAGCTGATTCTACAGAAAGAGTGTTTCCAAACTGCTCTATCAAGAGGAATGTTCCACTCGGTGAGTTGAATGCAGACATCACAAAGGAGTTTCTGAGATTGCTTCTGTCTAGCTTTTATGGAAAGATATTTCCTTTTCTACCATAGGCCTCAAAGCGCTCTTAGTATACACTTCCAAATTCTACAAAGAGAGTGTTACTAAACCGCTCTCTCAAAGGAAATGTTAAACTCTGTGAGTTGAACACAGACATCACAAAGCAGTTTCTGAGAACACTTCTGTCTGCCTTTTATGTGAAGACATTCCCTTTTCCAAAGAATGCCTCCAAGGGCTCAAAATATCCACTTGTAGACTTTACAAAGAGAGTGTTTCAAAACTTCTCTACCAAAAGAAAGGTTAAAGACGGTGAGTTCAACGCACACATCACAAAGTTGTTTCTGAGAATGATTCTATCTATGTTTTCCATGAAGATGTTTCCTTTTCTATCATAGGCTTCAAAGTGGTCTAAATATCCACTTGGAAATCCTACAAGAACAGGGTTTCAAAACTTCTCTATCAAACGGAAGACTCCACTCTGTGAGATGAACGCACACATCACAATGAGGTTTCTGAAAATTCTTCTGTCTAGGGTTATAGGAAGAAATCCCGTTTCCAACGAAGGCCTCAAAGAGGTCCAAATATCCACTTGCAGTTTCTACAAAAAGAGTGTTTCAACACTGCTCTATAAAGAGAAAAGTTCCACTCTGTGAGTTGAATGTACACATCACAAAGTAGTTTCTGAGATTGCTTCTGTCTAGGTTTTAGGTGAAGTTATTTCCTTTTCTACTGTGTGCTTCAATGCGCTCTAAATATACACATGCAAATACTACAAAAAGAGTGTTTCAAAACTGCTCTATCAAAAGAAAAGTTTTACTCTGTGAGTTGAACGCACACATCGCAAAGCAGATTCTGAGAATTATTCTGTCTAGTTTTTATAGGAAGATGTTTCTTTTTCTGCCATAGGCTCAATGCGCTATAAATATCCCCTTGGAAATCCTACAAAAACAGTGTTTCAAAACTGCTCTGTGAAAAGGGAGGTTTCACTCTTTGAATTGAATGCACACATCACAAAGGAGTTTCTGAAAATTCTTCAATCTAGAGTTACATGAAGAAATCCCGTTTCCAAAGAAGGCCTCAAATAGGTCCAAATATCCACTTGCAGCTACTACAAGCAGGGTGTTTCAGAAACGCTCTATCAAAAGAAACGTTAAACTCTGTGAGTTGAACACACACGTCACTAAGCACTTTCTGAGAACGATTCTATCTACTTTTTACATGAAGATGTTTCCTTTTCTAGCAGAGACTTCAAAGTGCTCTAAATATCCACTTGGGAATTCTACAAAAACGGTGTCTCAAAACTGCTCTATCAAAGGGAATGTTCCATTCTGTGAGTCGAATGCACACATCCGAAGAAGTTACTGAGAATTCTTCTCTGTAGGTTTAGATGAAGAAATCCCGTTTCCAACGAAGGCCTCTAGGAGGTCCAATTATCCACTTGCAGATTCTACAGAAAGAGTGTTTCAAAACTGCTCTATCCAGAGAAATGGTCCACCGTGTGTGTGGAATGCAGCCATCACACATTAGTTTCTGAGATTGCTTCTGTCTTGGTTTTATGGGGAGATATTTCCATTTCTAGCATAGGCTTCAAGGCGCTCTAAATATCCGCTTGGAAATAGTACAAAAACAGGGTTTCAAAACTGCTGTATCCAAAGGAAGGTGCCACTCGCTGAGTTGAATGCACACATCACAAGGAAGTTTCTGAGAATTCTTCTGTCTAGATTCATACGAAGAAATCCCGTTTCCAACGAAGGCCTCAAAGAAGTCCAAATATCCCATTGCAAATTCTACAAAAGGAGTGTTTCCCAACTGCTCTATCAAGAGGAATGTTGCACTCTGTGACTTGAATGCAAACATCACATAGCAGTGTTTGAGAATTCTTCTGTCTAGAGTAACATGAAGAAATCCCGTTTCCAACGAAGGCCTCAAGGCGGTCCAATTATCCACTTGCAGATTCTACAGAAAGAGTGTTTCAAAACTGCTCTATCAAGAGAAATGTTCCACCGTGTGTGTGGAATGCAGCCATCACACAGTAGTTTCTGAGATTGCTTCCGTCTAGGTTTTATGGGAAGATATTTCCTTTTCTACCATAGGCTTCAAGGCGCTCTAATATCCGCTTGGAAATACTACAACCACAGCGTTTCAAACTGCTCTATCCAAAGGAAGGTTCCACTCTGTGACTTGAATGCACACAACCAAAGAAGTTTCGGAGAATTCTTCTGTCTGGATTTATACGAAGAAATCCCGTTTCCAACGAAGACCCAAAGGAGTTCCAAATATCCACTTGCAGATCCTTCAGAAAGAGGGTTTCAAAACTGCTCTATCAAGAGAAATGTTCAACTCTGTGAGTTGAATGCAGACATCACAAAGTCGTTTCTGAGATGGGTTCTGTCTAGGTTTTATGGGAAGATATTTCCTTTTCTACCATACTCTTCAAGGCGTTCCAAATATCCGCTTGGAAATACTACAAAAACGGTGTTTCAAAACTGCTCTATCAAAAGGAAGGATCCACACTGTGAGTTGAATTCACACATCACAAAGAAATCTCTGAGAATTCTTCTGTCTGGGTTTATAGGAAGAAATCCCGTTTCCAACGAAGGCCTCAAAGCGGTCCATATATCCACTTGCAGATTCTACAGAAACAATGTTTCCAAACTGCTCGGTCAAGAGGAATGTTGCACTCGGTGAGTTGAATGCACACATCACAAAGTAGTTTCTGAGATTGCTTCTGTCTACCTTTTCTACCATAGGCCTGAAAGCGCTCTCAATGTACCCTTGCAAATTCTACAAAAAGAGTGTTTCCAAATTGCTCTATCAAGAGAAATCTTTATCTCGGTGAGTTGAAAGCACACATCACAAAGAAGACTCTGAGAATTCTTCTGTCTGGGTTTATAAGATGAAAACCCGTTTCCAACGAAGGCCTCAAGGAGGTCCAAATACAAACAAGCTGATTCTACAGAAAGAGTGTTTCCAAACTGCTCTATCAAGAGGAATGTTCCACTCGGTGAGTTGAATGCAGACATCACAAAGGAGTTTCTGAGATTGCTTCTGTCTAGCTTTTATGGAAAGATATTTCCTTTTCTACCATAGGCCTCAAAGCGCTCTTAGTATACACTTCCAAATTCTACAAAGAGAGTGTTACTAAACCGCTCTCTCAAAGGAAATGTTAAACTCTGTGAGTTGAACACAGACATCACAAAGCAGTTTCTGAGAACACTTCTGTCTGCCTTTTATGTGAAGACATTCCCTTTTCCAAAGAATGCCTCCAAGGGCTCAAAATATCCACTTGTAGACTTTACAAAGAGAGTGTTTCAAAACTTCTCTACCAAAAGAAAGGTTAAAGACGGTGAGTTCAACGCACACATCACAAAGTTGTTTCTGAGAATGATTCTATCTATGTTTTCCATGAAGATGTTTCCTTTTCTATCATAGGCTTCAAAGTGGTCTAAATATCCACTTGGAAATCCTACAAGAACAGGGTTTCAAAACTTCTCTATCAAACGGAAGACTCCACTCTGTGAGATGAACGCACACATCACAATGAGGTTTCTGAAAATTCTTCTGTCTAGGGTTATAGGAAGAAATCCCGTTTCCAACGAAGGCCTCAAAGAGGTCCAAATATCCACTTGCAGTTTCTACAAAAAGAGTGTTTCAACACTGCTCTATAAAGAGAAAAGTTCCACTCTGTGAGTTGAATGTACACATCACAAAGTAGTTTCTGAGATTGCTTCTGTCTAGGTTTTAGGTGAAGTTATTTCCTTTTCTACTGTGGGCTTCAATGCGCTCTAAATATACACATGCAAATACTACAAAAAGAGTGTTTCAAAACTGCTCTATCAAAAGAAAAGTTTTACTCTGTGAGTTGAACGCACACATCGCAAAGCAGATTCTGAGAATTATTCTGTCTAGTTTTTATAGGAAGATGTTCCTTTTTCTACCGTAGGCTCAATGCGCTATAAATATCCCCTTGGAAATCCTACAAAAACAGTGTTTCCAAACTGCTCTGTGAAAAGGGAGGTTTCACTCTTTGAATTGAATGCACACATCACAAAGGAGTTTCTGAAAATTCTTCAATCTAGAGTTACATGAAGAAATCCCGTTTCCAAAGAAGGCCTCAAATAGGTCCAAATATCCACTTGCAGCTACTACAAGAAGGGTGTTTCAGAAACGCTCTATCAAAAGAAACGTTAAACTCTGTGAGTTGAACGCACACGTCACTAAGCACTTTCTGAGAACGATTCTATCTACTTTTTACATGAAGATGTTTCCTTTTCTAGCAGAGACTTCAAAGTGCTCTAAATATCCACTTGGGAATTCTACAAAAACGGTGTCTCAAAACTGCTCTACCAAAGGGAATGTTCCATTCTGTGAGTCGAATGCACACATCCGAAGAAGTTACTGAGAATTCTTCTCTGTAGGTTTAGATGAAGAAATCCCGTTTCCAACGAAGGCCTCTAGGAGGTCCAATTATCCACTTGCAGATTCTACAGAAAGAGTGTTTCAAAACTGCTCTATCAAGAGAAATGGTCCACCGTGTGTGTGGAATGCAGCCATCACACATTAGTTTCTGAGATTGCTTCTGTCTTGGTTTTATGGGGAGATATTTCCATTTCTAGCATAGGCTTCAAGGCGCTCTAAATATCCGCTTGGAAATACTACAAAAACAGTGTTTCAAAACTGCTGTATCCAAAGGAAGGTGCCACTCGCTGAGTTGAATGCACACATCACAAGGAAGTTTCTGAGAATTCTTCTGTCTAGATTCATACGAAGAAATCCCGTTTCCAACGAAGGCCTCAAAGAAGTCCAAATATCCCATTGCAAATTCTACAAAAGGAGTGTTTCCCAACTGCTCTATCAAGAGGAATGTTGCACTCTGTGACTTGCATGCAAACATCACATAGCAGTGTTTGAGAATTCTTCTGTCTAGAGTAACATGAAGAAATCCCGTTTCCAACGAAGGCCTCAAGGCGGTCCAATTATCCACTTGCAGATTCTACAGAAAGAGTGTTTCAAAACTGCTCTATCAAGAAAAATGTTCCACCGTGTGTGTGGAATGCAGCCATCACACAGTAGTTTCTGAGATTGCTTCCGTCTAGGTTTTATGGGAAGATATTTCCTTTTCTACCATAGGCTTCAAGGCGCTCTAATATCCGCTTGGAAATACTACAACCAGAGCGTTTCAAACTGCTCTATCCAAAGGAAGGTTCCACTCTGTGACTTGAATGCACACAACCAAAGAAGTTTCGGAGAATTCTTCTGTCTGGATTTATACGAAGAAATCCCGTTTCCAACGAAGACCCAAAGGAGTTCCAAATATCCACTTGCAGATCCTTCAGAAAGAGGGTTTCAAAACTGCTCTATCAAGAGAAATGTTCAACTCTGTGAGTTGAATGCAGACATCACAAAGTCGTTTCTGAGATTGGTTCTGTCTAGGTTTTATGGGAAGATATTTCCTTTTCTACCATACGCTTCAAGGCGTTCCAAATATCCGCTTGGAAATACTACAAAAACGGTGTTTCATAACTGCTCTATCAAAAGGAAGGATCCACACTGTGAGTTGAATTCACACATCACAAAGAAATCTCTGAGAATTCTTCTGTCTGGGTTTATAGGAAGAAATCCCGTTTCCAACAAAGGCCTCAAAGCGGTCCATATATCCACTTGCAGATTCTACAGAAACAATGTTTCCAAACTGCTCTATCAAGAGGAATGTTGCACTCGGTGAGTTGAATGCACACATCACAAAGTAGTTTCTGAGATTGCTTCTGTCTACCTTTTATGGAAAGAATTCCCTTTTCTACCATAGGCCTGAAGCGCTCTCAATGTACCCTTGCAAATTCTACAAAAAGAGTGTTTCCAAATTGCTCTATCAAGAGAAATCTTTATCTCGGTGAGTTGAAAGCACACATCACAAAGAAGACTCTGAGAATTCTTCTGTCTGGGTTTATAAGATGAAAACCCGTTTCCAACGAAGGCCTCAAGGAGGTCCAAATACAAACAAGCTGATTCTACAGAAAGAGTGTTTCCAAACTGCTCTATCAAGAGGAATGTTCCACTCGGTGAGTTGAATGCAGACATCACAAAGGAGTTTCTGAGATTGCTTCTGTCTAGCTTTTATGGAAAGATAATTCCTTTTCTACCATAGGCCTCAAAACGCTCTTAGTATACACTTCCAAATTCTACAAAGAGAGTGTTACTAAACCGCTCTCTCAAAGGAAATATTAAACTCTGTGAGTTGAACACAGACATCACAAAGCAGTTTCTGAGAACACTTCTGTCTGCCTTTTATGTGAAGACATTCCCTTTTCCAAAGAATGCCTCCAAGGGCTCAAAATATCCACTTGTAGACTTTACAAAGAGAGTGTTTCAAAACTTCTCTACCAAAAGAAAGGTTAAAGACGGTGAGTTCAACGCACACATCACAAAGTTGTTTCTGAGCATGATTCTATCTATGTTTTCCATGAAGATGTTTCCTTTTCTATCATAGGCTTCAAAGTGGTCTAAATATCCACTTGGAAATCCTACAAGAACAGGGTTTCAAAACTTCTCTATCAAACGGAAGACTCCACTCTGTGAGATGAACGCACACATCACAATGAGGTTTCTGAAAATTCTTCTGTCTAGGGTTATAGGAAGAAATCCCGTTTCCAACGAAGGCCTCAAAGAGGTCCAAATATCCACTTGCAGTTTCTACAAAAAGAGTGTTTCAACACTGCTCTATAAAGAGGAAAGTTCCACTCTGTGAGTTGAATGTACACATCACAAAGTAGTTTCTGAGATTTCTTCTGTCTAGGTTTTAGGTGAAGTTATTTCCTTTTCTACTGTGGGCTTCAATGCGCTCTAAATATACACATGCAAATACTACAAAAAGTGTTTCAAAACTGCTCTATCAAAAGAAAAGTTTTACTCTGTGAGTTGAACGCACACATCGCAAAGCAGATTCTGAGAATTATTCTGTCTAGTTTTTATAGGAAGATGTTTCTTTTTCTGCCATAGGATCAATGCGCTATAAATATCCCCTTGGAAATCCTACAAAAACAGTGTTTCAAAACTGCTCTGTGAAAAGGGAGGTTTCACTCTTTGAATTGAATGCACACATCACAAAGGAGTTTCTGAAAATTCTTCAATCTAGAGTTACATGAAGAAATCCCGTTTCCAAAGAAGGCCTCAAATAGGTCCAAATATCCACTTGCAGCTACTACAAGAAGGGTGTTTCAGAAACGCTCTATCAAAAGAAACGATAAACTCTGTGAGTTGAACACACACGTCACTAAGCACTTTCTGAGAACGATTCTATCTACTTTTTACATGAAGATGTTTCCTTTTCTAGCAGAGACTTCAAAGTGCTCTAAATATCCACTTGGGAATTCTACAAAAACGGTGTCTCAAAACTGCTCTATCAAAGGGAATGTTCCATTCTGTGAGTCGAATGCACACATCCGAAGAAGTTACTGAGAATTCTTCTCTGTAGGTTTAGATGAAGAAATCCCGTTTCCAACGAAGGCCTCTAGGAGGTCCAATTATCCACTTGCAGATTCTACAGAAAGAGTGTTTCAAAACTGCTCTATCAAGAGAAATGGTCCACCGTGTGTGTGGAATGCAGCCATCACACATTAGTTTCCTGAGATTGCTTCTGTCTTGGTTTTATGGGGAGATATTTCCATTTCTAGCATAGGCTTCAAGGCGCTCTAAATATCCGCTTGGAAATAGTACAAAAACAGTGTTTCAAAACTGCTGTATCCAAAGGAAGGTGCCACTCGCTGAGTTGAATGTACACATCACAAGGAAGTTTCTGAGAATTCTTCTGTCTAGATTCATACGAAGAAATCCCGTTTCCAACGAAGGCCTCAAAGAAGTCCAAATATCCCATTGCAAATTCTACAAAAGGAGTGTTTCCCAACTGCTCTATCAAGAGGAATGTTGCACTCTGTGACTTGCATGCAAACATCACATAGCAGTGTTTGAGAATTCTTCTGTCTAGAGTAACATGAAGAAATCCCGTTTCCAACGAAGGCCTCAAGGTGGTCCAATTATCCACTTGCAGATTCTACAGAAAGAGTGTTTCAAAACTGCTCTATCAAGAGAAATGTTCCACCGTGTGTGTGGAATGCAGCCATCACACAGTAGTTTCTGAGATTGCTTCCGTCTAGGTTTTATGGGAAGATATTTCCTTTTCTACCATAGGCCTCAAGGCGCTCTAATATCCGCTTGGAAATACTACAACCACAGCGTTTCAAACTGCTCTATCCAAAGGAAGGTTCCACTCTGTGACTTGAATGCACACAACCAAAGAAGTTTCGGAGAATTCTTCTGTCTAGATTTATACGAAGAAATCCCGTTTCCAACGAAGACCCAAAGGAGTTCCAAATATCCACTTGCAGATCCTTCAGAAAGAGGGTTTCAAAACTGCTCTATCAAGAGAAATGTTCAACTCTGTGAGTTGAATGCAGACATCACAAAGTCGTTTCTGAGATTGGTTCTGTCTAGGTTTTATGGGAAGATATTTCCTTTTCTACCATACGCTTCAAGGCGTTCCAAATATCCGCTTGGAAATACTACAAAAACAGTGTTTCAAAACTGCTCTATCAAAAGGAAGGATCCACACTGTGAGTTGAATTCACACATCACAAAGAAGTCTCTGAGAATTCTTCTGTCTCGGTTTATAGGAAGAAATCCCGTTTCCAACGAAGGCCTCAAAGAGGTCCAAATATCCACTTGCAGATTCTACAGAAACAATGTTTCCAAACTGCTCGGTCAAGAGGAATGTTGCACTCGGTGAGTTGAATGCACACATCACAAAGTAGTTTCTGAGATTGCTTCTGTCTACCTTTTATGGAAAGATATTCCCTTTTCTACCATAGGCCTGAAAGCGCTCTCAATGTACCCTTGCAAATTCTACAAAAAGAGTGTTTCCAAATTGCTCTATCAAGAGAAATCTTTATCTCGGTGAGTTGAAAGCACACATCACAAAGAAGACTCTGAGAATTCTTCTGTCTGGGTTTATAAGATGAAAACCCGTTTCCAACGAAGGCCTCAAGGAGGTCCAAATACAAACAAGCTGATTCTACAGAAAGAGTGTTTCCAAACTGCTCTATCAAGAGGAATGTTCCACTCGGTGAGTTGAATGCAGACATCACAAAGGAGTTTCTGAGATTGCTTCTGTCTAGCTTTTATGGAAAGATATTTCCTTTTCTACCATAGGCCTCAAAGCGCTCTTAGTATACACTTCCAAATTCTACAAAGAGAGTGTTACTAAACCGCTCTCTCAAAGGAAATGTTAAACTCTGTGAGTTGAACACAGACATCACAAAGCAGTTTCTGAGAACACTTCTGTCTGCCTTTTATGTGAAGACATTCCCTTTTCCAAAGAATGCCTCCAAGGGCTCAAAATATCCACTTGTAGACTTTACAAAGAGAGTGTTTCAAAACTTCTCTACCAAAAGAAAGGTTAAAGACGGTGAGTTCAACGCACACATCACAAAGTTGTTTCTGAGAATGATTCTATCTATGTTTTCCATGAAGATGTTTCCTTTTCTATCATAGGCTTCAAAGTGGTCTAAATATCCACTTGGAAATCCTACAAGAACAGGGTTTCAAAACTTCTCTATCAAACGGAAGACTCCACTCTGTGAGATGAACGCACACATCACAATGAGGTTTCTGAAAATTCTTCTGTCTAGGGTTATAGGAAGAAATCCCGTTTCCAACGAAGGCCTCAAAGAGGTCCAAATATCCACTTGCAGTTTCTACAAAAAGAGTGTTTCAACACTGCTCTATAAAGAGGAAAGTTCCACTCTGTGAGTTGAATGTACACATCACAAAGTAGTTTCTGAGATTGCTTCTGTCTAGGTTTTAGGTGAAGTTATTTCCTTTTCTACTGTGGGCTTCAATGCGCTCTAAATATACACATGCAAATACTACAAAAAGAGTGTTTCAAAACTGCTCTATCAAAAGAAAAGTTTTACTCTGTGGGTTGAACGCACACATCGCAAAGCAGATTCTGAGAATTATTCTGTCTAGTTTTTATAGGAAGATGTTTCTTTTTCTGCCATAGGCTCAATGCACTATAAATATCCCCTTGGAAATCCTACAAAAACAGTGTTTCAAAACTGCTCTGTGAAAAGGGAGGTTTCACTCTTTGAATTGAATGCACACATCACAAAGGAGTTTCTGAAAATTCTTCAAACTAGAGTTACATGAAGAAATCCCGTTTCCAAAGAAGGCCTCAAATAGGTCCAAATATCCACTTGCAGCTACTACAAGCAGGGTGTTTCAGAAACGCTCTATCAAAAGAAACGTTAAACTCTGTGAGTTGAACACACACGTCACTAACCACTTTCTGAGAACGATTCTATCTACTTTTTACATGAAGATGTTTCCTTTTCTAGCAGAGACTTCAAAGTGCTCTAAATATCCACTTGGGAATTCTACGAAAACGGTGTCTCAAAACTGCTCTATCAAACGGAATGTTCCATTCTGTGAGTCGAATGCACACATCCGAAGAAGTTACTGAGAATTCTTCTCTGTAGGTTTAGATGAAGAAATCCCGTTTCCAACGAAGGCCTCTAGGAGGTCCAATTATCCACTTGCAGATTCTACAGAAAGAGTGTTTCAAAACTGCTCTATCAAGAGAAATGGTCCACCGTGTGTGTGGAATGCAGCCATCACACATTAGTTTCTGAGATTGCTTCTGTCTTGGTTTTATGGGGAGATATTTCCATTTCTAGCATAGGCTTCAAGGCGCTCTAAATATCCGCTTGGAAATACTACAAAAACAGTGTTTCAAAACTGCTGTATCCAAAGGAAGGTGCCACTCGCTGAGTTGAATGCACACATCACAAGGAAGTTTCTGAGAATTCTTCTGTCTAGATTCATACGAAGAAATCCCGTTTCCAACGAAGGCCTCAAAGAAGTCCAAATATCCCATTGCAAATTCTACAAAAGGAGTGTTTCCCAACTGCTCTATCAAGAGGAATGTTGCACTCTGTGACTTGCATGCAAACATCACATAGCAGTGTTTGAGAATTCTTCTGTCTAGAGTAACATGAAGAAATCCCGTTTCCAACGAAGGCCTCAAGGCGGTCCAATTATCCACTTGCAGATTCTACAGAAAGAGTGTTTCAAAACTGCTCTATCAAGAGAAATGTTCCACCGTGTGTGTGGAATGCAGCCATCACACAGTAGTTTCTGAGATTGCTTCCGTCTAGGTTTTATGGGAAGATATTTCCTTTTCTACCATAGGCTTCAAGGCGCTCTAATATCCGCTTGGAAATACTACAACCACAGCGTTTCAAACTGCTCTATCCAAAGGAAGGTTCCACTCTGTGACTTGAATGCACACAACCAAAGAAGTTTCGGAGAATTCTTCTGTCTGGATTTATACGAAGAAATCCCGTTTCCAACGAAGACCCAAAGGAGTTCCAAATATCCACTTGCAGATCCTTCAGAAAGAGGGTTTCAAAACTGCTCTATCAAGAGAAATGTTCAACTCTGTGAGTTGAATGCAGACATCACAAAGTCGTTTCTGAGATGGGTTCTGTCTAGGTTTTATGGGAAGATATTTCCTTTTCTACCATACGCTTCAAGGCGTTCCAAATATCCGCTTGGAAATACTACAAAAACAGTGTTTCAAAACTGCTCTATCAAAAGGAAGGATCCACACTGTGAGTTGAATTCACACATCACAAAGAAATCTCTGAGAATTCTTCTGTCTGGGTTTATAGGAAGAAATCCCGTTTCCAACGAAGGCCTCAAAGAGGTCCAAATATCCACTTGCAGATTCTACAGAAACAATGTTTCCAAACTGCTCGGTCAAGAGGAATGTTGCACTCGGTGAGTTGAATGCACACATCACAAATTAGTTTCTGAGATTGCTTCTGTCTACCTTTTATGGAAAGATATTCCCTTTTCTACCATAGGCCTGAAAGCGCTCTCAATGTACCCTTGCAAATTCTACAAAATGAGTGTTTCCAAATTGCTGTATCAAGAGAAATCTTTATCTCGGTGAGTTGAAAGCACACATCACAAAGAAGACTCTGAGAATTCTTCTGTCTGGGTTTATAAGATGAAAACCCGTTTCCAACGAAGGCCTCAAGGAGGTCCAAATACAAACAAGCTGATTCTACAGAAAGAGTGTTTCCAAACTGCTCTATCAAGAGGAATGTTCCACTCGGTGAGTTGAATGCAGACATCACAAAGGAGTTTCTGAGATTGCTTCTGTCTAGCTTTTATGGAAAGATAATTCCTTTTCTACCATAGGCCTCAAAGCGCTCTTAGTATACACTTCCAAATTCTACAAAGAGAGTGTTACTAAACCGCTCTCTCAAAGGAAATGTTAAACTCTGTGAGTTGAACACAGACATCACAAAGCAGTTTCTGAGAACACTTCTGTCTGCCTTTTATGTGAAGACATTCCCTTTTCCAAAGAATGCCTCCAAGGGCTCAAAATATCCACTTGTAGACTTTACAAAGAGAGTGTTTCAAAACTTCTCTACCAAAAGAAAGGTTAAAGACGGTGAGTTCAACGCACACATCACAAAGTTGTTTCTGACAATGATTCTATCTATGTTTTCCATGAAGATGTTTCCTTTTCTATCATAGGCTTCAAAGTGGTCTAAATATCCACTTGGAAATCCTACAAGAACAGGGTTTCAAAGCTTCTCTATCAAACGGAAGACTCCACTCTGTGAGATGAACGCACACATCACAATGAGGTTTCTGAAAATTCTTCTGTCTAGGGTTATAGGAAGAAATCCCGTTTCCAATGAAAGCCTCAAAGAGGTCCAAATATCCACTTGCAGTTTCTACAAAAAGAGTGTTTCAACACTGCTCTATAAAGAGGAAAGTTCCACTCTGTGAGTTGAATGTACACATCACAAAGTAGTTTCTGAGATTGCTTCTGTCTAGGTTTTAGGTGAAGTTATTTCCTTTTCTACTGTGGGCTTCAATGCGTTCTAAATATACACATGCAAATACTACAAAAAGAGTGTTTCAAAACTGCTCTATCAAAAGAAAAGTTTTACTCTGTGGGTTGAACGCACACATCGCAAAGCAGATTCTGAGAATTATTCTGTCTAGTTTTTATAGGAAGATGTTTCTTTTTTGCCATAGGATCAATGCGCTATAAATATCCCCTTGGAAATCCTACAAAAACAGTGTTTCAAAACTGCTCTGTGAAAAGGGAGGTTTCACTCTTTGAATTGAATGCACACATCACATAGGAGTTTCTGAAAATTCTTCAATCTAGAGTTACATGAAGAAATCCCGTTTCCAAAGAAGGCCTCAAATAGGTCCAAATATCCACTTGCAGCTACTACAAGAAGGGTGTTTCAGAAACGCTCTATCAAAAGAAACGTTAAACTCTGTGAGTTGAACACACACGTCACTAAGCACTTTCTGAGACCGATTCTATCTACTTTTTACATGAAGATGTTTCCTTTTCTAGCAGAGACTTCAAAGTGCTCTAAATATCCACTTGGGAATTCTACAAAAACGGTGTCTCAAAACTGCTCTATCAAACGGAATGTTCCATTCTGTGAGTCGAATGCACACATCCGAAGAAGTTACTGAGAATTCTTCTCTGTAGGTTTAGATGAAGAAATCCCGTTTCCAACGAAGGCCTCTAGGAGGTCCAATTATCCACTTGCAGATTCTACAGAAAGAGTGTTTCAAAACTGCTCTATCAAGAGAAATGGTCCACCGTGTGTGTGGAATGCAGCCATCACACATTAGTTTCTGAGATTACTTCTGTCTTGGTTTTATGGGGAGATATTTCCATTTCTAGCATAGGCTTCAAGGCGCTCTAAATATCCGCTTGGAAATAGTACAAAAACAGTGTTTCAAAACTGCTGTATCCAAAGGAAGGTGCCACTCGCTGAGTTGAATGCACACATCACAAGGAAGTTTCTGAGAATTCTTCTGTCTAGATTCATACGAAGAAATCCCGTTTCCAACGAAGGCCTCAAAGAAGTCCAAATATCCCATTGCAAATTCTACAAAAGGAGTGTTTCCCAACTGCTCTATCAAGAGGAATGTTGCACTCTGTGACTTGAATGCAAACATCACATAGCAGTGTTTGAGAATTCTTCTGTCTAGAGTAACATGAAGAAATCCCGTTTCCAACGAAGGCCTCAAGGCCGTCCAATTATCCACTTGCAGATTCTACAGAAAGAGTGTTTCAAAACTGCTCTATCAAGAGAAATGTTCCACCGTGTGTGTGGAATGCAGCCATCACACAGTAGTTTCTGAGATTGCTTCCGTCTAGGTTTTATGGGAAGATATTTCCTTTTCTACCATAGGCTTCAAGGCGCTCTAATATCCGCTTGGAAATACTACAACCACAGCGTTTCAAACTGCTCTATCCAAAGGAAGGTTCCACTCTGTGACTTGAATGCACACAACCAAAGAAGTTTCGGAGAATTCTTCTGTCTGGATTTATACGAAGAAATCCCGTTTCCAACGAAGACCCAAAGGAGTTCCAAATATCCACTTGCAGATCCTTCAGAAAGAGGGTTTCAAAACTGCTCTATCAAGAGAAATGTTCAACTCTGTGAGTTGAATGCAGACATCACAAAGTCGTTTCTGAGATGGGTTCTGTCTAGGTTTTATGGGAAGATATTTCCTTTTCTACCTTACGCTTCAAGGTGTTCCAAATATCCGCTTGGAAATACTACAAAAACAGTGTTTCAAAACTGCTCTATCAAAAGGAAGGATCCACACTGTGAGTTGAATTCACACATCACAAAGAAATCTCTGAGAATTCTTCTGTCTGGGTTTATAGGAAGAAATCCCGTTTCCAACGAAGGCCTCAAAGCGGTCCATATATCCACTTGCAGATTCTACAGAAACAATGTTTCCAAACTGCTCTATCAAGAGGAATGTTGCACTCGGTGAGTTGAATGCACACATCACAAAGTAGTTTCTGAGATTGCTTCTGTCTACCTTTTATGGAAAGATATTCCCTTTTCTACCATAGGCCTGAAAGCGCTCTCAATGTACCCTTGCAAATTCTACAAAAAGAGTGTTTCCAAATTGCTCTATCAAGAGAAATCTTTATCTCGGTGAGTTGAAAGCACACATCACAAAGAAGACTCTGAGAATTCTTCTGTCTGGGTTTATAAGATGAAAACCCGTTTCCAACGAAGGCCTCAAGGAGGTCCAAATACAAACAAGCTGATTCTACAGAAAGAGTGTTTCCAAACTGCTCTATCAAGAGGAATGTTCCACTCGGTGAGTTGAATGCAGACATCACAAAGGAGTTTCTGAGATTGCTTCTGTCTAGCTTTTATGGAAAGATATTTCCTTTTCTACCATAGGCCTCAAAGCGCTCTTAGTATACACTTCCAAATTCTACAAAGAGAGTGTTACTAAACCGCTCTCTCAAAGGAAATGTTAAACTCTGTGAGTTGAACACAGACATCACAAAGCAGTTTCTGAGAACACTTCTGTCTGCCTTTTATGTGAAGACATTCCCTTTTCCAAAGAATGCCTCCAAGGGCTCAAAATATCCACTTGTAGACTTTACAAAGAGAGTGTTTCAAAACTTCTCTACCAAAAGAAAGGTTAAAGACGGTGAGTTCAACGCACACATCACAAAGTTGTTTCTGAGAATGATTCTATCAATGTTTTCCATGAAGATGTTTCCTTTTCTATCATAGGATTCAAAGTGGTCTAAATATCCACTTGGAAATCCTACAAGAACAGGGTTTCAAAACTTCTCTATCAAACGGAAGACTCCACTCTGTGAGATGAACGCACACATCACAATGAGGTTTCTGAAAATTCTTCTGTCTAGGGTTATAGGAAGAAATCCCGTTTCCAACGAAGGCCTCAAAGAAGGTCCAAATATCCACTTGCAGTTTCTACAAAAAGAGTGTTTCAACACTGCTCTATAAAGAGGAAAGTTCCACTCTGTGAGTTGAATGTACACATCACAAAATAGTTTCTGAGATTGCTTCTGTCTAGGTTTTAGGTGAAGTTATTTCCTTTTCTACTGTGGGCTTCAAAGCGCTCTAAATATACACATGCAAATACTACAAAAAGAGTGTTTCAAAACTGCTCTATCAAAAGAAAAGTTTTACTCTGTGAGTTGAACGCACACATCGCAAAGCAGATTCTGAGAATTATTCTGTCTAGTTTTTATAGGAAGATGTTTCTTTTTCTGCCATAGGCTCAATGCGCTATAAATATCCCCTTGGAAATCCTACAAAAACAGTGTTTCAAAACTGCTCTGTGAAAAGGGAGGTTTCACTCTTTGAATTGAATGCACACATCACAAAGGAGTTTCTGAAAATTCTTCAATCTAGAGTTACATGAAGAAATCCCGTTTCCAAAGAAGGCCTCAAATAGGTCCAAATATCCACTTGCAGCTACTACAAGAAGGGTGTTTCAGAAACGCTCTATCAAAAGAAACGTTAAACTCTGTGAGTTGAACGCACACGTCACTAAGCACTTTCTGAGAACGATTCTATCTACTTTTTACATGAAGATGTTTCCTTTTCTAGCAGAGACTTCAAAGTGCTCTAAATATCCACTTGGGAATTCTACAAAAACGGTGTCTCAAAACTGCTCTACCAAAGGGAATGTTCCATTCTGTGAGTCGAATGCACACATCCGAAGAAGTTACTGAGAATTCTTCTCTGTAGGTTTAGATGAAGAAATCCCGTTTCCAACGAAGGCCTCTAGGAGGTCCAATTATCCACTTGCAGATTCTACAGAAAGAGTGTTTCAAAACTGCTCTATCAAGAGAAATGGTCCACCGTGTGTGTGGAATGCAGCCATCACACATTAGTTTCTGAGATTGCTTCTGTCTTGGTTTTATGGGGAGATATTTCCATTTCTAGCATAGGCTTCAAGGCGCTCTAAATATCCGCTTGGAAATACTACAAAAACAGTGTTTCAAAACTGCTGTATCCAAAGGAAGGTGCCACTCGCTGAGTTGAATGCACACATCACAAGGAAGTTTCTGAGAATTCTTCTGTCTAGATTCATACGAAGAAATCCCGTTTCCAACGAAGGCCTCAAAGAAGTCCAAATATCCCATTGCAAATTCTACAAAAGGAGTGTTTCCCAACTGCTCTATCAAGAGGAATGTTGCACTCTGTGACTTGCATGCAAACATCACACAGCAGTGTTTGAGAATTCTTCTGTCTAGAGTAACATGAAGAAATCCCGTTTCCAACGAAGGCCTCAAGGCGGTCCAATTATCCACTTGCAGATTCTACAGAAAGAGTGTTTCAAAACTGCTCTATCAAGAGAAATGTTCCACCGTGTGTGTGGAATGCAGCCATCACACAGTAGTTTCTGAGATTGCTTCCGTCTAGGTTTTATGGGAAGATATTTCCTTTTCTACCATAGGCCTCAAGGCGCTCTAATATCCGCTTGGAAATACTACAACCACAGCGTTTCAAACTGCTCTATCCAAAGGAAGGTTCCACTCTGTGACTTGAATGCACACAACCAAAGAAGTTTCGGAGAATTCTTCTGTCTAGATTTATACGAAGAAATCCCGTTTCCAACGAAGACCCAAAGGAGTTCCAAATATCCACTTGCAGATCCTTCAGAAAGAGGGTTTCAAAACTGCTCTATCAAGAGAAATGTTCAACTCTGTGAGTTGAATGCAGACATCACAAAGTCGTTTCTGAGATTGGTTCTGTCTATGTTTTATGGGAAGATATTTCATTTCTACCATACGCTTCAAGGCGTTCCAAATATCCGCTTGGAAATACTACAAAAACGGTGTTTCAAAACTGCTCTATCAAAAGGAAGGATCCACACTGTGAGTTGAATTCACACATCACAAAGAAATCTCTGAGAATTCTTCTGTCTGGGTTTATAGGAAGAAATCCCGTTTCCAACGAAGGCCTCAAAGCGGTCCATATATCCACTTGCAGATTCTACAGAAACAATGTTTCCAAACTGCTCTATCAAGAGGAATGTTGCACTCGGTGAGTTGAATGCACACATCACAAAGTAGTTTCTGAGATTGCTTCTGTCTACCTTTTATGGAAAGATATTCCCTTTTCTACCATAGGCCTGAAAGCGCTCTCAATGTACCCTTGCAAATTCTACAAAAAGAGTGTTTCCAAATTGCTCTATCAAGAGAAATCTTTATCTCGGTGAGTTGAAAGCACACATCACAAAGAAGACTCTGAGAATTCTTCTGTCTGGGTTTATAAGATGAAAACCCGTTTCCAACGAAGGCCTCAAGGAGGTCCAAATACAAACAAGCTGATTCTACAGAAAGAGTGTTTCCAAACTGCTCTATCAAGAGGAATGTTCCACTCGGTGAGTTGAATGCAGACATCACAAAGGAGTTTCTGAGATTGCTTCTGTCTAGCTTTTATGGAAAGATATTTCCTTTTCTACCATAGGCCTCAAAGCGCTCTTAGTATACACTTCCAAATTCTACAAAGAGAGTGTTACTAAACCGCTCTCTCAAAGGAAATGTTAAACTCTGTGAGTTGAACACAGACATCACAAAGCAGTTTCTGAGAACACTTCTGTCTGCCTTTTATGTGAAGACATTCCCTTTTCCAAAGAATGCCTCCAAGGGCTCAAAATATCCACTTGTAGACTTTACAAAGAGAGTGTTTCAAAACTTCTCTACCAAAAGAAAGGTTAAAGACAGTGAGTTCAACGCACACATCACAAAGTTGTTTCTGAGAATGATTCTATCTATGTTTTCCATGAAGATGTTTCCTTTTCTATCATAGGCTTCAAAGTGGTCTAAATATCCACTTGGAAATCCTACAAGAACAGGGTTTCAAAACTTCTCTATCAAACGGAAGACTCCACTCTGTGAGATGAACGCACACATCACAATGAGGTTTCTGAAAATTCTTCTGTCTAGGGTTATAGGAAGAAATCCCGTTTCCAACGAAGGCCTCAAAGAGGTCCAAATATCCACTTGCAGTTTCTACAAAAAGAGTGTTTCAACACTGCTCTATAAAGAGAAAAGTTCCACTCTGTGAGTTGAATGTACACATCACAAAGTAGTTTCTGAGATTGCTTCTGTCTAGGTTTTAGGTGAAGTTATTTCCTTTTCTACTGTGGGCTTCAATGCGCTCTAAATATACACATGCAAATACTACAAAAAGAGTGTTTCAAAACTGCTCTATCAAAAGAAAAGTTTTACTCTGTGAGTTGAACGCACACATCGCAAAGCAGATTCTGAGAATTATTCTGTCTAGTTTTTATAGGAAGATGTTTCTTTTTCTGCCATAGGATCAATGCGCTATAAATATCCCCTTGGAAATCCTACAAAAACAGTGTTTCAAAACTGCTCTGTGAAAAGGGACGTTTCACTCTTTGAATTGAATGCACACATCACAAAGGAGTTTCTGAAAATTCTTCAAACTAGAGTTACATGAAGAAATCCCGTTTCCAAAGAAGGCCTCAAATAGGTCCAAATATCCACTTGCAGCTACTACAAGAAGGATGTTTCAGAAACGCTCTATCAAAAGAAACGTTAAACTCTGTGAGTTGAACACACACGTCACTAAGCACTTTCTGAGAACGATTCTATCTACTTTTTACATGAAGATGTTTCCTTTTCTAGCAGAGACTTCAAAGTGCTCTAAATATCCACTTGGGAATTCTACAAAAACGGTGTCTCAAAACTGCTCTATCAAAGGGAATGTTCCATTCTGTGAGTCGAATGCACACATCCGAAGAAGTTACTGAGAATTCTTCTCTGTAGGTTTAGATGAAGAAATCCCGTTTCCAACGAAGGCCTCTAGGAGGTCCAATTATCCACTTGCAGATTCTACAGAAAGAGTGTTTCAAAACTGCTCTATCAAGAGAAATGGTCCACCGTGTGTGTGGAATGCAGCCATCACACATTAGTTTCTGAGATTGCTTCTGTCTTGGTTTTATGGGGAGATATTTCCATTTCTAGCATAGGCTTCAAGGCGCTCTAAATATCCGCTTGGAAATACTACAAAAACAGTGTTTCAAAACTGCTGTATCCAAAGGAAGGTGCCACTCGCTGAGTTGAATGCACACATCACAAGGAAGTTTCTGAGAATTCTTCTGTCTAGATTCATACGAAGAAATCCCGTTTCCAACGAAGGCCTCAAAGAAGTCCAAATATCCCATTGCAAATTCTACAAAAGGAGTGTTTCCCAACTGCTCTATCAAGAGGAATGTTGCACTCTGTGACTTGCATGCAAACATCACATAGCAGTGTTTGAGAATTCTTCTGTCTAGAGTAACATGAAGAAATCCCGTTTCCAACGAAGGCCTCAAGGCGGTCCAATTATCCACTTGCAGATTCTACAGAAAGAGTGTTTCAAAACTGCTCTATCAAGAGAAATGTTCCACCGTGTGTGTGGAATGCAGCCATCACACAGTAGTTTCTGAGATTGCTTCCGTCTAGGTTTTATGGGAAGATATTTCCTTTTCTACCATAGGCCTCAAGGCGCTCTAATATCCGCTTGGAAATACTACAACCACAGCGTTTCAAACTGCTCTATCCAAAGGAAGGTTCCACTCTGTGACTTGAATGCACACAACCAAAAAGTTTCGGAGAATTCTTCTGTCTGGATTTATACGAAGAAATCCCGTTTCCAACGAAGACCCAAAGGAGTTCCAAATATCCACTTGCAGATCCTTCAGAAAGAGGGTTTCAAAACTGCTCTATCAAGAGAAATGTTCAACTCTGTGAGTTGAATGCAGACATCACAAAGTCGTTTCTGAGATGGGTTCTGTCTAGGTTTTATGGGAAGATATTTCCTTTTCTACTATACGCTTCAAGGCGTTCCAAATATCTGCTTGGAAATACTACAAAAACAGTGTTTCAAAACTGCTCTATCAAAAGGAAGGATCCACACTGTGAGTTGAATTCACACATCACAAAGAAATCTCTGAGAATTCTTCTGTCTGGGTTTATAGGAAGAAATCCCGTTTCCAACGAAGGCCTCAAAGCGGTCCATATATCCACTTGCAGATTCTACAGAAACAATGTTTCCAAACTGCTCGGTCAAGAGGAATGTTGCACTCGGTGAGTTGAATGCACACATGACAAAGTAGTTTCTGAGATTGCTTCTGTCTACCTTTTATGGAAAGATATTCCCTTTTCTACCATAGGCCTGAAAGCGCTCTCAATGTACCCTTGCAAATTCTACAAAAAGAGTGTTTCCAAATTGCTCTATCAAGAGAAATCTTTATCTCGGTGAGTTGAAAGCACACATCACAAAGAAGACTCTGAGAATTCTTCTGTCTGGGTTTATAAGATGAAAACCCGTTTCCAACGAAGGCCTCAAGGAGGTCCAAATACAAACAAGCTGATTCTACAGAAAGAGTGTTTCCAAACTGCTCTATCAAGAGGAATGTTCCACTCGGTGAGTTGAATGCAGACATCACAAAGGAGTTTCTGAGATTGCTTCTGTCTAGCTTTTATGGAAAGATATTTCCTTTTCTACCATAGGCCTCAAAGCGCTCTTAGTATACACTTCCAAATTCTACAAAGAGAGTGTTACTAAACCGCTCTCTCAAAGGAAATGTTAAACTCTGTGAGTTGAACACAGACATCACAAAGCAGTTTCTGAGAACACTTCTGTCTGCCTTTTATGTGAAGACATTCCCTTTTCCAAAGAATGCCTCCAAGGGCTCAAAATATCCACTTGTAGACTTTACAAAGAGAGTGTTTCAAAACTTCTCTACCAAAAGAAAGGTTAAAGACGGTGAGTTCAACGCACACATCACAAAGTTGTTTCTGAGAATGATTCTATCTATGTTTTCCATGAAGATGTTTCCTTTTCTATCATAGGCTTCCAAGTGGTCTAAATATCCACCTGGAAATCCTACAAGAACAGGGTTTCAAAGCTCCTCTATCAAACGGAAGACTCCACTCTGTGAGATGAACGCACACATCACAATGAGGTTTCTGAAAATTCTTCTGTCTAGGGTTATAGGAAGAAATCCCCTTTCCAACGAAGGCCTCAAAGAGGTCCAAATATCCACTTGCAGTTTCTACAAAAAGAGTGTTTCAACACTGCTCTATAAAGAGGAAAGTTCCACTCTGTGAGTTGAATGTACACATCACAAAGTAGTTTCTGAGATTGCTTCTGTCTAGGTTTTAGGTGAAGTTATTTCCTTTTCTACTGTGGGCTTCAATGCGCTCTAAATATACACATGCAAATACTACAAAAAGAGTGTTTCAAAACTGCTCTATCAAAAGAAAAGTTTTACTCTGTGGGTTGAACGCACACATCGCAAAGCAGATTCTGAGAATTATTCTGTCTAGTTTTTATAGGAAGATGTTTCTTTTTCTGCCGTAGGCTCAATGCGCTATAAATATCCCCTTGGAAATCCTACAAAAACAGTGTTTCAAAACTGCTCTGTGAAAAGGGAGGTTTCACTCTTTGAATTGAATGCACACATCACAAAGGAGTTTCTGAAAATTCTTCAAACTAGAGTTACATGAAGAAATCCCGTTTCCAAAGAAGGCCTCAAATAGGTCCAAATATCCACTTGCAGCTACTACAAGAAGGGTGTTTCAGAAACGCTCTATCAAAAGAAATGTTAAACTCTGTGAGTTGAACACACACGTCACTAAGCACTTTCTGAGAACGATTCTATCTACTTTTTACATGAAGATGTTTCCTTTTCTAGCAGAGACTTCAAAGTGCTCTAAATATCCACTTGGGAATTCTACAAAAACGGTGTCTCAAAACTGCTCTATCAAACGGAATGTTCCATTCTGTGAGTCGAATGCACACATCCGAAGAAGTTACTGAGAATTCTTCTCTGTAGGTTTAGATGAAGAAATCCCGTTTCCAACGAAGGCCTCTAGGAGGTCCAATTATCCACTTGCAGATTCTACAGAAAGAGTGTTTCAAAACTGCTCTATCAAGAGAAATGGTCCACCGTGTGTGTGGAATGCAGCCATCACACATTAGTTTCTGAGATTGTTTCTGTCTTGGTTTTATGGGGAGATATTTCCATTTCTAGCATAGGCTTCAAGGCGCTCTAAATATCCGCTTGGAAATACTACAAAAACAGTGTTTCAAAACTGCTGTATCCAAAGGAAGGTGCCACTCGCTGAGTTGAATGCACACATCACAAGGAAGTTTCTGAGAATTCTTCTGTCTAGATTCATACGAAGAAATCCCGTTTCCAACGAAGGCCTCAAAGAAGTCCAAATATCCCATTGCAAATTCTACAAAAGGAGTGTTTCCCAACTGCTCTATCAAGAGGAATGTTGCACTCTGTGACTTGAATGCAAACATCACACAGCAGTGTTTGAGAATTCTTCTGTCTAGAGTAACATGAAGAAATCCCGTTTCCAACGAAGGCCTCAAGGCGGTCCAATTATCCACTTGCAGATTCTACAGAAAGAGTGTTTCAAAACTGCTCTATCAAGAGAAATGTTCCACCGTGTGTGTGGAATGCAGCCATCACACAGTAGTTTCTGAGATTGCTTCCGTCTAGGTTTTATGGGAAGATATTTCCTTTTCTACCATAGGCCTCAAGGCGCTCTAATATCCGCTTGGAAATACTACAACCACAGCGTTTCAAACTGCTCTATCCAAAGGAAGGTTCCACTCTGTGACTTGAATGCACACAACCAAAGAAGTTTCGGAGAATTCTTCTGTCTAGATTTGTACGAAGAAATCCCGTTTCCAACGAAGACCCAAAGGAGTTCCTAATATCCACTTGCAGATCCTTCAGAAAGAGGGTTTCAAAACTGCTCTATCAAGAGAAATGTTCAACTCTGTGAGTTGAATGCAGACATCACAAAGTCGTTTCTGAGATTGGTTCTGTCTAGGTTTTATGGGAAGATATTTCCTTTTCTACCATACGCTTCAAGGCGTTCCAAATATCCGCTTGGAAATACTACAAAAACAGTGTTTCAAAACTGCTCTATCAAAAGGAAGGATCCACACTGTGAGTTGAATTCACACATCACAAAGAAGTCTCTGAGAATTCTTCTGTCTGGGTTTATAGGAAGAAATCCCGTTTCCAACGAAGGCCTCAAAGAGGTCCAAATATCCACTTGCAGATTCTACAGAAACAATGTTTCCAAACTGCTCGGTCAAGAGGAATGTTGCACTCGGTGAGTTGAATGCACACATCACAAAGTAGTTTCTGAGATTGCTTCTGTCTACCTTTTATGGAAAGATATTCCCTTTTCTACCATAGGCCTGAAAGCGCTCTCAATGTACCCTTGCAAATTCTACAAAAAGAGTGTTTCCAAATTGCTCTATCAAGAGAAATCTTTATCTCGGTGAGTTGAAAGCACACATCACAAAGAAGACTCTGAGAATTCTTCTGTCTGGGTTTATAAGTATGAAAACCCGTTTCCAACGAAGGCCTCAAGGAGGTCCAAATACAAACAAGCTGATTCTACAGAAAGAGTGTTTCCAAACTGCTCTATCAAGAGGAATGTTCCACTCGGTGAGTTGAATGCAGACATCACAAAGGAGTTTCTGAGATTGCTTCTGTCTAGCTTTTATGGAAAGATATTTCCTTTTCTACCATAGGCCTCAAAGCGCTCTTAGAATACACTTCCAAATTCTACAAAGAGAGTGTTACTAAACTGCTCTATCAAAGGAAATGTTAAACTCTGTGAGTTGAACACAGACATCACAAAGCAGTTTCTGAGAACACTTCTGTCTGCCTTTTATGTGAAGACATTCCCTTTTCCAAAGAATGCCTCCAAGGGCTCAAAATATCCACTTGTAGACTTTACAAAGAGAGTGTTTCAAAACTTCTCTACCAAAAGAAAGGTTAAAGACGGTGAGTTCAACGCACACATCACAAAGTTGTTTCTGAGAATGATTCTATCTATGTTTTCCATGAAGATGTTTCCTTTTCTATCATAGGCTTCAAAGTGGTCTAAATATCCACTTGGAAATCCTACAAGAACAGGGTTTCAAAACTTCTCTATCAAACGGAAGACTCCACTCTGTGAGATGAACGCACACATCACAATGAGGTTTCTGAAAATTCTTCTGTCTAGGGTTATAGGAAGAAATCCCGTTTCCAACGAAGGCCTCAAAGAGGTCCAAATATCCACTTGCAGTTTCTACAAAAAGAGTGTTTCAACACTGCTCTATAAAGAGGAAAGTTCCACTCTGTGAGTTGAATGTACACATCACAAAGTAGTTTCTGAGATTGCTTCTGTCTAGGTTTTAGGTGAAGTTATTTCCTTTTCTACTGTGGGCTTCAATGCGCTCTAAATATACACATGCAAATACTACAAAAAGACTGTTTCAAAACTGCTCTATCAAAAGAAAAGTTTTACTCTGTGAGTTGAACGCACACATCGCAAAGCAGATTCTGAGAATTATTCTGTCTAGTTTTTATAGGAAGATGTTTCTTTTTCTGCCATAGGATCAATGCGCTATAAATATCCCCTTGGAAGTCCTACAAAAACAGTGTTTCAAAACTGCTCTGTGAAAAGGGAGGTTTCACTCTTTGAATTGAATGCACACATCACAAAGGAGTTTCTGAAAATTCTTCAATCTAGAGTTACATGAAGAAATCCCGTTTCCAAAGAAGGCCTCAAATAGGTCCAAATATCCACTTGCAGCTACTACAAGAAGGGTGTTTCAGAAACGCTCTATCAAAAGAAACGTTAAACTCTGTGAGTTGAACGCACACGTCACTAAGCACTTTCTGAGAACGATTCTATCTACTTTTTACATGAAGATGTTTCCTTTTCTAGCAGAGACTTCAAAGTGCTCTAAATATCCACTTGGGAATTCTACAAAAACGGTGTCTCAAAACTGCTCTACCAAAGGGAATGTTCCATTCTGTGAGTCGAATGCACACATCCGAAGAAGTTACTGAGAATTCTTCTCTGTAGGTTTAGATGAAGAAATCCCGTTTCCAACGAAGGCCTCTAGGAGGTCCAATTATCCACTTGCAGATTCTACAGAAAGAGTGTTTCAAAACTGCTCTATCAAGAGAAATGGTCCACCGTGTGTGTGGAATGCAGCCATCACACATTAGTTTCTGAGATTGCTTCTGTCTTGGTTTTATGGGGAGATATTTCCATTTCTAGCATAGGCTTCAAGGCGCTCTAAATATCCGCTTGGAAATACTACAAAAACAGTGTTTCAAAACTGCTGTATCCAAAGGAAGGTGCCACTCGCTGAGTTGAATGCACACATCACAAGGAAGTTTCTGAGAATTCTTCTGTCTAGATTCATACGAAGAAATCCCGTTTCCAACGAAGGCCTCAAAGAAGTCCAAATATCCCATTGCAAATTCTACAAAAGGAGTGTTTCCCAACTGCTCTATCAAGAGGAATGTTGCACTCTGTGACTTGAATGCAAACATCACATAGCAGTGTTTGAGAAATCTTCTGTCTAGAGTAACATGAAGAAATCCCGTTTCCAACGAAGGCCTCAAGGCGGTCCAATTATCCACTTGCAGATTCTACAGAAAGAGTGTTTCAAAACTGCTCTATCAAGAGAAATGTTCCACCGTGTGTGTGGAATGCAGCCATCACACAGTAGTTTCTGAGATTGCTTCCGTCTAGGTTTTATGGGAAGATATTTCCTTTTCTACCATAGGCTTCAAGGCGCTCTAATATCCGCTTGGAAATACTACAACCACAGCGTTTCAAACTGCTCTATCCAAAGGAAGGTTCCACTCTGTGACTTGAATGCACACAACCAAAGAAGTTTCGGAGAATTCTTCTGTCTGGATTTATACGAAGAAATCCCGTTTCCAACGAAGACCCAAAGGAGTTCCAAATATCCACTTGCAGATCCTTCAGAAAGAGGGTTTCAAAACTGCTCTATCAAGAGAAATGTTCAACTCTGTGAGTTGAATGCAGACATCACAAAGTCGTTTCTGAGATGGGTTCTGTCTAGGTTTTATGGGAAGATATTTCCTTTTCTACCACACGCTTCAAGGCGTTCCAAATATCCGCTTGGAAATACAACAAAAACAGTGTTTCGAAACTGCTCTATCAAAAGGAAGGATCCACACTGTGAGTTGAATTCACACATCACAAAGAAGTCTCTGAGAATTCTTCTGTCTGGGTTTATAGGAAGAAATCCCATTTCCAACGAAGGCCTCAAAGAGGTCCAAATATCCACTTGCAGATTCTACAGAAACAATGTTTCCAAACTGCTCGGTCAAGAGGAACGTTGCACTCGGTGAGTTGAATGCACACATCACAAAGTAGTTTCTGAGATTGCTTCTGTCTACCTTTTATGGAAAGATATTCCCTTTTCTACCATAGGCCTGAAAGCGCTCTCAATGTACCCTTGCAAATTCTACAAAAAGAGTGTTTCCAAATTGCTCTATCAAGAGAAATCTTTATCTCGGTGAGTTGAAAGCACACATCACAAAGAAGACTCTGAGAATTCTTCTGTCTGGGTTTATAAGATGAAAACCCGTTTCCAACGAAGGCCTCAAGGAGGTCCAAATACAAACAAGCTGATTCTACAGAAAGAGTGTTTCCAAACTGCTCTATCAAGAGGAATGTTCCACTCGGAGAGTTGAATGCCGACATCACAAAGGAGTTTCTGAGATTGATTCTGTCTAGCTTTTATGGAAAGATATTTCCTTTTCTACCATAGGCCTCAAAGCACTCTTAGTATACACTTCCAAATTCTACAAAGAGAGTGTTACTAAACCGCTCTCTCAAAGGAAATGTTAAACTCTGTGAGTTGAACACAGACATCACAAAGCAGTTTCTGAGAACACTTCTGTCTGCCTTTTATGTGAAGACATTCCCTTTTCCAAAGAATGCCTCCAAGGGCTCAAAATATCCACTTGTAGACTTTACAAAGAGAGTGTTTCAAAACTTCTCTACCAAAAGAAAGGTTAAAGACGGTGAGTTCAACGCACACATCACAAAGTTGTTTCTGAGAATGATTCTATCTATGTTTTCCATGAAGATGTTTCCTTTTCTATCATAGGCTTCAAAGTGGTCTAAATATCCACTTGGAAATCCTACAAGAACAGGGTTTCAAAACTTCTCTATCAAACGGAAGACTCCACTCTGTGAGATGAACGCACACATCACAATGAGGTTTCTGAAAATTCTTCTGTCTAGGGTTATAGGAAGAAATCCCGTTTCCAACGAAGGCCTCAAAGAGGTCCAAATATCCACTTGCAGTTTCTACAAAAAGAGTGTTTCAACACTGCTCTATAAAGAGAAAAGTTCCACTCTGTGAGTTGAATGTACACATCACAAAGTAGTTTCTGAGATTGCTTCTGTCTAGGTTTTAGGTGAAGTTATTTCCTTTTCTACTGTGGGCTTCAATGCGCTCTAAATATACACATGCAAATACTACAAAAAGAGTGTTTCAAAACTGCTCTATCAAAAGAAAAGTTTTACTCTGTGAGTTGAACGCACACATCGCAAAGCAGATTCTGAGAATTATTCTGTCTAGTTTTTATAGGAAGATGTTTCTTTTTCTGCCATAGGCTCAATGCGCTATAAATATCCCCTTGGAAATCCTACAAAAACAGTGTTTCAAAACTGCTCTGTGAAAAGGGAGGTTTCACTCTTTGAATTGAATGCACACATCACAAAGGAGTTTCTGAAAATTCTTCAATCTAGAGTTACATGAAGAAATCCCGTTTCCAAAGAAGGCCTCAAATAGGTCCAAATATCCACTTGCAGCTACTACAAGAAGGGTGTTTCAGAAACGCTCTATCAAAAGAAACGTTAAACTCTGTGAGTTGAACGCACACGTCACTAAGCACTTTCTGAGAACGATTCTATCTACTTTTTACATGAAGATGTTTCCTTTTCTAGCAGAGACTTCAAAGTGCTCTAAATATCCACTTGGGAATTCTACAAAAACGGTGTCTCAAAACTGCTCTATCAAAGGGAATGTTCCATTCTGTGAGTCGAATGCACACATCCGAAGAAGTTACTGAGAATTCTTCTCTGTAGGTTTAGATGAAGAAATCCCGTTTCCAACGAAGGCCTCTAGGAGGTCCAATTATCCACTTGCAGATTCTACAGAAAGAGTGTTTCAAAACTGCTCTATCAAGAGAAATGGTCCACCGTGTGTGTGGAATGCAGCCATCACACATTAGTTTCTGAGATTGCTTCTGTCTTGGTTTTATGGGGAGATATTTCCATTTCTAGCATAGGCTTCAAGGCGCTCTAAATATCCGCTTGGAAATACTACAAAAACAGTGTTTCAAAACTGCTGTATCCAAAGGAAGGTGCCACTCGCTGAGTTGAATGCACACATCACAAGGAAGTTTCTGAGAATTCTTCTGTCTAGATTCATACGAAGAAATCCCGTTTCCAACGAAGGCCTCAAAGAAGTCCAAATATCCCATTGCAAATTCTACAAAAGGAGTGTTTCCCAACTGCTCTATCAAGAGGAATGTTGCACTCTGTGACTTGAATGCAAACATCACATAGCAGTGTTTGAGAATTCTTCTGTCTAGAGTAACATGAAGAAATCCCGTTTCCAACGAAGGCCTCAAGGCGGTCCAATTATCCACTTGCAGATTCTGCAGAAAGAGTGTTTCAAAACTGCTCTATCAAGAGAAATGTTCCACCGTGTGTGTGGAATGCAGCCATCACACAGTAGTTTCTGAGATTGCTTCCGTCTAGGTTTTATGGGAAGATATTTCCTTTTCTACCATAGGCTTCAAGGCGCTCTAATATCCGCTTGGAAATACTACAACCACAGCGTTTCAAACTGCTCTATCCAAAGGAAGGTTCCACTCTGTGACTTGAATGCACACAACCAAAGAAGTTTCGGAGAATTCTTCTGTCTGGATTTATACGAAGAAATCCCGTTTCCAACGAAGACCCAAAGGAGTTCCAAATATCCACTTGCAGATCCTTCAGAAAGAGGGTTTCAAAACTGCTCTATCAAGAGAAATGTTCAACTCTGTGAGTTGAATGCAGACATCACAAAGTCGTTTCTGAGATGGGTTCTGTCTAGGTTTTATGGGAAGATATTTCCTTTTCTACCATACGCTTCAAGGCGTTCCAAATATCCGCTTGGAAATACTACAAAAACAGTGTTTCAAAACTGCTCTATCAAAAGGAAGGATCCACACTGTGAGTTGAATTCACACATCACAAAGAAATCTCTGAGAATTCTTCTGTCTGGGTTTATAGGAAGAAATCCCGTTTCCAACGAAGGCCTCAAAGCGGTCCATATATCCACTTGCAGATTCTACAGAAACAATGTTTCCAAACTGCTCTATCAAGAGGAATGTTGCACTCGGTGAGTTGAATGCACACATCACAAAGTAGTTTCTGAGATTGCTTCTGTCTACCTTTTATGGAAAGAGATTCCCTTTTCTACCATAGGCCTGAAAGCGCTCTCAATGTACCCTTGCAAATTCTACAAAAAGAGTGTTTCCAAATTGCTCTATCAAGAGAAATCTTTATCTCGGTGAGTTGAAAGCACACATCACAAAGAAGACTCTGAGAATTCTTCTGTCTGGGTTTATAAGATGAAAACCCGTTTCCAACGAAGGCCTCAAGGAGGTCCAAATACAAACAAGCTGATTCTACAGAAAGAGTGTTTCCAAACTGCTCTATCAAGAGGAATGTTCCACTCGGTGAGTTGAATGCAGACATCACAAAGGAGTTTCTGAGATTGCTTCTGTCTAGCTTTTATGGAAAGATATTTCCTTTTCTACCATAGGCCTCAAAGCGCTCTTAGTATACACTTCCAAATTCTACAAAGAGAGTGTTACTAAACCGCTCTCTCAAAGGAAATGTTAAACTCTGTGAGTTGAACACAGACATCACAAAGCAGTTTCTGAGAACACTTCTGTCTGCCTTTTATGTGAAGACATTCCCTTTTCCAAAGAATGCCTCCAAGGGCTCAAAATATCCACTTGTAGACTTTACAAAGAGAGTGTTTCAAAACTTCTCTACCAAAAGAAAGGTTAAAGACGGTGAGTTCAACGCACACATCACAAAGTTGTTTCTGAGAATGATTCTATCTATGTTTTCCATGAAGATGTTTCCTTTTCTATCATAGGCTTCAAAGTGGTCTAAATATCCACTTGGAAATCCTACAAGAACAGGGTTTCAAAACTTCTCTATCAAACGGAAGACTCCACTCTGTGAGATGAACGCACACATCACAATGAGGTTTCTGAAAATTCTTCTGTCTAGGGTTATAGGAAGAAATCCCGTTTCCAACGAAGGCCTCAAAGAGGTCCAAATATCCACTTGCAGTTTCTACAAAAAGAGTGTTTCAACACTGCTCTATAAAGAGAAAAGTTCCACTCTGTGAGTTGAATGTACACATCACAAAGTAGTTTCTGAGATTGCTTCTGTCTAGGTTTTAGGTGAAGTTATTTCCTTTTCTACTGTGGGCTTCAATGCGCTCTAAATATACACATGCAAATACTACAAAAAGAGTGTTTCAAAACTGCTCTATCAAAAGAAAAGTTTTACTCTGTGGGTTGAACGCACACATCGCAAAGCAGATTCTGAGAATTATTCTGTCTAGTTTTTATAGGAAGATGTTTCTTTGTCTGCCATAGGATCAATGCGCTATAAATATCCCCTTGGAAGTCCTACAAAAACAGTGTTTCAAAACTGCTCTGTGAAAAGGGAGGTTTCACTCTTTGAATTGAATGCACACATCCCAAAGGAGTTTCTGAAAATTCTTCAATCTAGAGTTACATGAAGAAATCCCGTTTCCAAAGAAGGCCTCAAATAGGTCCAAATATCCACTTGCAGCTACTACAAGAAGGGTGTTTCAGAAACGCTCTATCAAAAGAAACGTTAAACTCTGTGAGTTGAACACACACGTCACTAAGCACTTTCTGAGAACGATTCTATCTACTTTTTACATGAAGATGTTTCCTTTTCTAGCAGAGACTTCAAAGTGCTCTAAATATCCACTTGGGAATTCTACAAAAACGGTGTCTCAAAACTGCTCTATCAAAGGGAATGTTCCATTCTGTGAGTCGAATGCACACATCCGAAGAAGTTACTGAGAATTCTTCTCTGTAGGTTTAGATGAAGAAATCCCGTTTCCAACGAAGGCCTCTAGGAGGTCCAATTATCCACTTGCAGATTCTACAGAAAGAGTGTTTCAAAACTGCTCTATCAAGAGAAATGGTCCACCGTGTGTGTGGAATGCAGCCATCACACATTAGTTTCTGAGATTGCTTCTGTCTTGGTTTTATGGGGAGATATTTCCATTTCTAGCATAGGCTTCAAGGCGCTCTAAATATCCGCTTGGAAATACTACAAAAACAGTGTTTCAAAACTGCTGTATCCAAAGGAAGGTGCCACTCGCTGAGTTGAATGCACACATCACAAGGAAGTTTCTGAGAATTCTTCTGTCTAGATTCATACGAAGAAATCCCGTTTCCAACGAAGGCCTCAAAGAAGTCCAAATATCCCATTGCAAATTCTACAAAAGGAGTGTTTCCCAACTGCTCTATCAAGAGGAATGTTGCACTCTGTGACTTGCATGCAAACATCACACAGCAGTGTTTGAGAATTCTTCTGTCTAGAGTAACATGAAGAAATCCCGTTTCCAACGAAGGCCTCAAGGCGGTCCAATTATCCACTTGCAGATTCTACAGAAAGAGTGTTTCAAAACTGCTCTATCAAGAGAAATGTTCCACCGTGTGTGTGGAATGCAGCCATCACACAGTAGTTTCTGAGATTGCTTCCGTCTAGGTTTTATGGGAAGATATTTCCTTTTCTACCATAGGCCTCAAGGCGCTCTAATATCCGCTTGGAAATACTACAACCACAGCGTTTCAAACTGCTCTATCCAAAGGAAGGTTCCACTCTGTGAGTTGAATGCACACAACCAAAGAAGTTTCGGAGAATTCTTCTGTCTAGATTTATACGAAGAAATCCCGTTTCCAACGAAGACCCAAAGGAGTTCCAAATATCCACTTGCAGATCCTTCAGAAAGAGGGTTTCAAAACTGCTCTATCAAGAGAAATGTTCAACTCTGTGAGTTGAATGCAGACATCACAAAGTCGTTTCTGAGATTGGTTCTGTCTAGGTTTTATGGGAAGATATTTCCTTTTCTACCATACGCTTCAAGGCGTTCCAAATATCCGCTTGGAAATACTACAAAAACAGTGTTTCAAAACTGCTCTATCAAAAGGAAGGATCCACACTGTGAGTTGAATTCACACATCACAAAGAAGTCTCTGAGAATTCTTCTGTCTGGGTTTATAGGAAGAAATCCCGTTTCCAACGAAGGCCTCAAAGAGGTCCAAATATCCACTTGCAGATTCTACAGAAACAATGTTTCCAAACTGCTCTATCAAGAGGAATGTTGCACTCGGTGAGTTGAATGCACACATCACAAAGTAGTTTCTGAGATTGCTTCTGTCTACCTTTTATGGAAAGATATTCCCTTTTCTACCATAGGCCTGAAAGCGCTCTCAATGTACCCTTGCAAATTCTACAAAAAGAGTGTTTCCAAATTGCTCTATCAAGAGAAATCTTTATCTCGGTGAGTTGAAAGCACACATCACAAAGAAGACTCTGAGAATTCTTCTGTCTGGGTTTATAAGATGAAAACCCGTTTCCAACGAAGGCCTCAAGGAGGTCCAAATACAAACAAGCTGATTCTACAGAAAGAGTGTTTCCAAACTGCTCTATCAAGAGGAATGTTCCACTCGGTGAGTTGAATGCAGACATCACAAAGGAGTTTCTGAGATTGCTTCTGTCTAGCTTTTATGGAAAGATATTTCCTTTTCTACCATAGGCCTCAAAGCGCTCTTAGTATACACTTCCAAATTCTACAAAGAGAGTGTTACTAAACCGCTCTCTCAAAGGAAAATGTTAAACTCTGTGAGTTGAACACAGACATCACAAAGCAGTTTCTGAGAACACTTCTGTCTGCCTTTTATGTGAAGACATTCCCTTTTCCAAAGAATGCCTCCAAGGGCCCAAAATATCCACTTGTAGACTTTACAAAGAGAGTGTTTCAAAACTTCTCTACCAAAAGAAAGGTTAAAGACTGTGAGTTCAACGCACACATCACAAAGTTGTTTCTGAGAATGATTCTATCTATGTTTTCCATGAAGATGTTTCCTTTTCTATCATAGGCTTCAAAGTGGTCTAAATATCCACTTGGAAATCCTACAAGAACAGGGTTTCAAAACTTCTCTATCAAACGGAAGACTCCACTCTGTGAGATGAACGCACACATCACAATGAGGTTTCTGAAAATTCTTCTGTCTAGGGTTATAGGAAGAAATCCCGTTTCCAACGAAGGCCTCAAAGAGGTCCAAATATCCACTTGCAGTTTCTACAAAAAGAGTGTTTCAACACTGCTCTATAAAGAGGAAAGTTCCACTCTGTGAGTTGAATGTACACATCACAAAGTAGTTTCTGAGATTGCTTCTGTCTAGGTTTTAGGTGAAGTTATTTCCTTTTCTACTGTGTGCTTCAATGCGCTCTAAATATACACATGCAAATACTACAAAAAGACTGTTTCAAAACTGCTCTATCAAAAGAAAAGTTTTACTCTGTGGGTTGAACACACACATCGCAAAGCAGATTGTGAGAATTATTCTGTCTAGTTTTTATAGGAAGATGTTTCTTTTTCTGCCATAGGATCAATGCGCTATAAATATCCCCTTGGAAGTCCTACAAAAACAGTGTTTCAAAACTGCTCTGTGAAAAGGGAGGTTTCACTCTTTGAATTGAATGCACACATCACAAAGGAGTTTCTGAAAATTCTTCAATCTAGAGTTACATGAAGAAATCCCGTTTCCAAAGAAGGCCTCAAATAGGTCCAAATATCCACTTGCAGCTACTACAAGAAGGGTGTTTCAGAAACGCTCTATCAAAAGAAACGTTAAACTCTGTGAGTTGAACGCACACGTCACTAAGCACTTTCTGAGAACGATTCTATCTACTTTTTACATGAAGATGTTTCCTTTTCTAGCAGAGACTTCAAAGTGCTCTAAATATCCACTTGGGAATTCTACAAAAACGGTGTCTCAAAACTGCTCTATCAAAGGGAATGTTCCATTCTGTGATTCGAATGCACACATCCGAAGAAGTTACTGAGAATTCTTCTCTGTAGGTTTAGATGAAGAAATCCCGTTTCCAACGAAGGCCTCTAGGAGGTCCAATTATCCACTTGCAGATTCTACAGAAAGAGTGTTTCAAAACTGCTCTATCAAGAGAAATGGTCCACCGTGTGTGTGGAATGCAGCCATCACACATTAGTTTCTGAGATTGCTTCTGTCTTGGTTTTATGGGGAGATATTTCCATTTCTAGCATAGGCTTCAAGGCGCTCTAAATATCCGCTTGGAAATACTACAAAAACAGTGTTTCAAAACTGCTGTATCCAAAGGAAGGTGCCACTCGCTGAGTTGAATGCACACATCACAAGGAAGTTTCTGAGAATTCTTCTGTCTAGATTCATACGAAGAAATCCCGTTTCCAACGAAGGCCTCAAAGAAGTCCAAATATCCCATTGCAAATTCTACAAAAGGAGTGTTTCCCAACTGCTCTATCAAGAGGAATGTTGCACTCTGTGACTTGAATGCAAACATCACATAGCAGTGTTTGAGAATTCTTCTGTCTAGAGTAACATGAAGAAATCCTGTTTCCAACGAAGGCCTCAAGGCGGTCCAATTATCCACTTGCAGATTCTACAGAAAGAGTGTTTCAAAACTGCTCTATCAAGAGAAATGTTCCACCGTGTGTGTGGAATGCAGCCATCACACAGTAGTTTCTGAGATTGCTTCCGTCTAGGTTTTATGGGAAGATATTTCCTTTTCTACCATAGGCTTCAAGGCGCTCTAATATCCGCTTAGAAATACTACAACCACAGCGTTTCAAACTGCTCTATCCAAAGGAAGGTTCCACTCTGTGACTTGAATGCACACAACCAAAGAAGTTTCGGAGAATTCTTCTGTCTGGATTTATACGAAGAAATCCCGTTTCCAACGAAGACCCAAAGGAGTTCCAAATATCCACTTGCAGATCCTTCAGAAAGAGGGTTTCAAAACTGCTCTATCAAGAGAAATGTTCAACTCTGTGAGTTGAATGCAGACATCACAAAGTCGTTTCTGAGATGGGTTCTGTCTAGGTTTTATGGGAAGATATTTCCTTTTCTACCATACGCTTCAAGGCGTTCCAAATATCCGCTTGGAAATACTACAAAAACAGTGTTTCAAAACTGCTCTATCAAAAGGAAGGATCCACACTGTGAGTTGAATTCACACATCACAAAGAAATCTCTGAGAATTCTTCTGTCTGGGTTTATAGGAAGAAATCCCGTTTCCAACGAAGGCCTCAAAGCCGGTCCATATATCCACTTGCAGATTCTACAGAAACAATGTTTCCAAACTGCTCTATCAAGAGGAATGTTGCACTCGGTGAGTTGAATGCACACATCACAAAGTAGTTTCTGAGATTGCTTCTGTCTACCTTTTATGGAAAGATATTCCCTTTTCTACCATAGGCCTGAAAGCGCTCTCAATGTACCCTTGCAAATTCTACAAAAAGAGTGTTTCCAAATTGCTCTATCAAGAGAAATCTTTATACTCGGTGAGTTGAAAGCACACATCACAAAGAAGACTCT